>NC_000005.10:93443140-93746170 GCF_000001405.40 Homo sapiens
TTCCAAAGGAATGCAGCTCCTCACCAGCAATGGAACAAAGCTGCATGGAGAATGACTTTGACGAGTTGAGAGAAGAAGGCTTCAGATGATCAGTAATCACAAACTTCTCTGAGCTAAAGTATGATGTTTGAACCCATCACAAAGAAGCTAAAAACCTTGAAAAACGATTAGACAAATGGCTAACTAGAATAAACAGCATAGAGAAGACCCTAAATGACCTGATGGAGCTGAAAACCATGGCGCGAGAATTACGGGACGCATGTACAAGCTTCTGTAGCCGATTCGTTCAAGTGGAAGAAAGGGTATCAGTGATTGAAGATTAAATGAATGAAATGAAGTGAGAAGAGAAGTTTAGAGAAAAAAAGAGTAAAAAGAAAAGAACAAAGCCTCCAAGAAATATGGGACTATATGAAAAGACCAAATCTACATCTGACTGGTATACCTTAAAGTGATGAGGGGAATGGAACCAAGTTGGAAAACATGCTTCAGGATATTATCCAGGAGAACTTCCCCAATCTAGAAAGACAGGCCAATATTCAAATTCAGGAAATACAAAGAACACCACAAAGATATTCCTCGAGAAGAGCAACTCCAAGACACATAATTGTCAGATTCACCAAAGTTGAAATGAAGGAAAAAATATTAAGGGCAACCAGAAAGAAAGGTTGGGTTACCCACAAAGGCAAGCCCATCAGACTAACAGCAGATCTCTTGGCAGAAACTCTACAAGCCAGAAGAGAGTGGGGGCCAATATTCAACATTCTTAAGGGAAACAATTTTCAACCCAGAAGTTCATATCCAGCCAAACTAAGTTTCATAAGTGAAGGAGAAATAAAATCCTTTACAGACAAGCAAATGCTGAGAGATTTTGTCACCACCAGGCCTGCCCTAAAAGAGCTCCTGAAGGAAGCACTAAACATGGAAAGGCACAACCGGTACCAGCCACTGCAAAAACATGACAAATTGTAAAGACCATCAATGCTAGGAAGAAACTGCATCAACTAGTGAGCAAAATAACCAGCTAACATCATAATGATGGGATCAAATTCACACATAACAATATTAACCTTAAATGTAAATGGGCTAAATGCTCCAGTTAAAAGACACAGACTGGCAAATTGGATAAAGAGTTAAGATCCATCAGTGTGCTGTATTCAGGAGACTCATCTCAGGTGCAGAGACACACACAGGCTCAAAATAAAGGGATGGAGGAAGATCTACCAAGCAAATGGAAAACAAAAAAAGCAGGGGTTGCAATCCTAGTCTCTGATCAAACAGACTTTAAACCAACTAAGACCAAAAGAGACAAACAAGGCCATTATATAATTGTAAAGGGATCAATTCGACAAGAAGCGCTAACTATCCTAAATATATATGCACCCAACAGAGGAGCACCCAGATTCATAAAGTAAGTCCTTAGAGACCTACAAAGAGATGTACACTCCCACACAAAAATAATGGGAGACTTTAACATCTCACTGTCAACATTAGACAGATCAATGAGACAGAAAGTTAACAAGGATATCCAGGAATTGAACTCAGCTCTGCACCAAGCAGACCTAATAGACATCTACAGAACTCTCCACCCCAAATCAACAGAATATACATTCTTCTCAGCACCACATCGCACTTATACCAAAATTGACCACATAGTTGGAAGTAAAGCACTCCTCAGAAAATGTAAAAGAACAGAAATTATAACAAACTGTCTCTCAGACCACAGTGCAATCAAACTGGAATTGAGGATTAAGAAACTCACTCAAAACTGCTCAACTACATGGAAACTAAACAATGTGCTCCTGAATGACTATTGGGTACATAACAAAATGAAGGCAGAAATAAAGATGTTCTTTGAAACCAATAAGAACAAAGACAAAACATACCAGAATCTCTGGGACACTTTTAAAGCAATCTGTAGAGGGAAAATTATATCACTAAATACCAACAAGAGGAAGCAGGAAAGATCTAAAATTGACACCCTAACATCATAATTAAAAGAACTAGAGAAGCAAGAGCAAACACATTCAAAAGCTAGCAGACGGCAAGAAATAACTAAGATCAGAGCAGAACTGAAGGAGATAGAGACACAAAAAACCCTTCAAAATATCAATGAATCCAGGAGTTGGTTTTTTGAAAGGATCAACAAAATTGATAGACAACTAGCAAGACTAATAAAGAGAAAAGAAAGAATCAAATAGACACAATAAAAAATTATAAAGGGGGTATCACCACCGATCCCACAGAAATACAAACTACCATCAGAGAATACTACAAACACCTCTACGCAAATAAACTAGAAAATCTAGAAGAAATGGATAAATTCCTGGACACATACACCCTCCCAAGACTAAACCAGGAAGAAGTTGAATCCCTGAATAGACCAACAACAGGCTCTGAAATTGAGGCAATAATTAATAGCCTACCAATCAAAAAAAAAAATCCAAGACCAGACAGATTCACAGCCGAATTCTACCAGAGGTACAAAGAGGAGCTGGTACCATTCCTTCTGAAAGTATTCCAACCAATATAAAAAGAGGGAATCCTCCCTAACTCATTTTATGAGGCCAGCATCATCCTGATACCAAAGCCTGGCAGAGACACAACAAAAAAAGAGAATTTTAGACCAATATCCCTGATGAACATCAATGCAAAAATCCTCAATAAAATACTGGCAAACTGAATCCAGCAGCACATCAAAAAGCTTATCCACCATGATCAAGTGGGCTTCATCCCTGGGATGCAAGGCTGGTTCAACATATGCAAATCAATACATGTAATCCATCATATAAACAGAACCAAAGATAAAAACCACATGATTATCTCAATAGATGCAGAAAAGGTCTTCAACAAAATTCAACAGCCCTTCATCCTAAAAACTCTCAATAAACTAGGTATTGACGGGACGTACATCAAAATAATAAGAGCTGTTTATGACAAACCCACAGCCAATATCATACTGAATGGGAAAAAACTGGAAGCATTCCCTTGGAAAACTGGCATAAGACAGGGATGCCCTCTCTCACCACTCCTATTCAATGAAGTGTTGGAAGTTCTGGCCATGGCAATCAGGGAGGAGGAAGAAATAAAGGGTATTCAATTAGGAAAAGAGGAAGTCAAATTGTCCCTGTTTGCAGATGACATGATTATATATTTAGAAAACCCCATCGTCTCAGCCCAAAATCTCCTTAAGCTGATAAGTAACTTCAGCAAAGTCTCAGGATACAAAATCAATGTGCAAAAATCACAAGCATTCCTATACACCAATAACAGACAAACAGAGAGCCAAATCATGAGTGAACTCCCATTCGCAATTGCTTCAAAGAGAATAAAATACCTAGGAATCCAACTTATAAGGGGTGTGAAGGACCTCTTCAAGGTTTGACTACAAACCACTATTCAATGAAATAAAAGAGGACACAAACAAATGGAAGAACATTCCATGCTCATAGATAGGAAGAATCAATATCGTGAAAATGGCCATACTGCCCAAAGTAATTCATAGATTCAATGCTATCCCCATCAATCTACCAATGACTTTCTTCACAGAATTGGAAAAAACTACTTTAAAGTTTATATGGAACCAAAAAAGAGCCCACATTGCCAAGACAATCCTAAGCCAAAAGAACAAAGCTGGAGACATCACGCTACCTGACTTCAAACTATACTACAAGGCTACAGTATTCAAAACAGCATGGTACTGGTACCAAAACAGAGATACAGACCAATGGTACAGAACAGGGCCCTCAGAAATAATACCACACATCTACAACCATCTGATCTTTGACAAACCTGACAAAAACAAGAAATAGGGAAAGGATTCCCTATTTAATAAATGGTGCTGGGAAAACTGGCTAGCCATATGTAGAAAGCTGAAACTGGATCCCTTCCTTACATCTTATACAAAAATTAATTCAAGATGGATTAAAGACTTAAATATTAGACCTAAAACCATAAAAACCCTAGAAGAAAACCTAGGCAATACCATTCAGGACATAGGCATGGGCAAGGACTTCATGACTAAAACACCAAAAGCAATGGCAACAAAAGCCAAAATTGACAAAGGAGATCTAATTAAACTAAAGAGCTTCTGCATAGCAAAAGAAACTACCATCAGAGTGAACAGGCAACCTACAGAATGGGAGAACATTTTTACAATCTACCCGTCTGACAAAGGGCTAATATCCAGAATCTACAAAGAACTTAAACAAATTTACAAGAAAAAAATCAAACAACCCCATCAAAAAGGGGGCAAAAGATAGGAACAGACACTTCTCAAAAGAAGACATTTATGCAGCCAACAGACACATGAAAAAATGCTCATCATCACTGGTCATCAGAGAAATGCAAATCAAAACCACAATGAGATACCATCTCAAACCAGTTAGAATGGCAATCATTAAAAAGTCAGGAAACAACAGGTGCTGGAGAGGATGTGGAGAAATAGGAACACTTTTACACTGTTGGTGGGACTGTAAACTAGTTCAACCATTGTGGAAGACAGTGTGGCGATTCCTCAAGGATCTACAACTAGATATACCATTTGACCCAGCCATCCCATTAATGGGTATATACCCAAAGATTATAAATCATGCTGCTATAAAGACACATGCCCACATTGCGGCACTATTCACAATAGCAAAGACTTGGAGCCAACCCAAATGTCCATCAATGATAGTCTGGATTAAGAAAATGTGGTGGCACATATACACCATGGAATACTATGCAGCCATAAAAAAGGATGAGTTCATGTCCTTTGCAGGGACATGGATGAAGCTGGAAACCATCATTCTGAGCAAACTATAGCAAGGACAGAAAACCAAACACCATATGTTCTCACTCATAGGTGGGAATTGGACAGTGAGAACACTTGGACACAGGGTGGGGAACATCACACACCAGGGCCTGTCGTGGGGTGGAGGGAAGGGGGAGGGATAGCATTAGGAGATATACCTAATGTAAAATACAAGTTAATGGGTACAGCACACCAACATGGCACATGTATACCTATGTAACAAGCCTGCACATTGTGCACATGTACCCTAGAACTTAAAGTATAAAAAAAAAATGCTTGCTGACTCCCACTTATAACACAGATTTCACCACAACTTGTAAAATAACACAATCTCATGTTAAACAATTAATAAACCCAATAAGCTTTCCTGCCTTTCTGTCCTTGGGGTCCCAAATCATCTGACAAGATAGACCTGTCAAATTGTTTGATAGTGTGAAAAAAATCAAAAGCATTTTAATAAGCTTTAGGATACTCAAAAATTTAACATGAAATGCACACAAAGACAATGGCTGGTCTCGTGGCTCTTTCTCCTTGTCTAGCCTCAATTGTGAGTGGATATAGCCAAAAACATCTGATAGGGATGGGGATGCAAAACAATATGCAAAATCCAACTCTCTATAACTACCTGATAGCTTAGGTGTGGTACTTGCATAATAAAGCATTGGCTCACATAATTATTGAAGCTGACAAGTCCCAACATCTGCTGCCAGCTGAAAGCTGGCAGGCTTGAGACCCAAAAAGACTGATGTTTCAGCTCAAGTCCAAAGGCATGAAAAGACCACTGTTCCAGCTCAAGTAGTCAGGTAGGAGCTCCCTCTTACTCAGCCTTTTTGTTCTATTGAGGTCTTCAGTTGACAGGCTGAAGCCCACCCACACCAGGGAGGGCCACTTGCTTTACTCAGTCTACCAATTCAAATGCTCATCTCAGCCAGAAACTCCCTCACTGAGACACCCAGAATTGAGTCTGACCAAATATCTGGGCACCCTGTGGTACAGTTAAATTGATACATAAAATGAATAATCACAGTAGGTAGGTAGCTTTGAATCTTATTTTCTATCAAGTATCAAGGATCAAGCATATACCAATAATATTTACAAAGTTTTTTTATTGTTGCAGCATAGATGGATTAAAAATTAGGATTTTGAAAAACTGTTTATATAAAGTATCTAAGGGAGAAATTGTACACTCTAAAATACTAGAATTCTATGTTAGAATTAGTACCTCCGAAGTTACATACACTAATATATAAACAAGTTTATATATGACAAAGGCTAAAATTTACCCAGGGCTCTTAAAAATAATGGGTTATATGCTAGATTACATCCTTTTCTTGAAGCCATCATAAAGTAGACCATATCAAAAACTCTCATTAGTATGAGTAGAGTTTATATTTACCAATACATACTTTTTCCCTCAACTAACACTCCAACATTTCTTACAACAGTAAAGGCCTGGATACAGCAACAATGTAGATCATCTTACTTTACTCCTTTACTCCAAAAACCCAATAGGAATGTATGTTTTAATCTTGCAAAATACCAATACTAGACCATTTATTAAATATATGCTCCTAATATTCACCTTCTTACATTTTTACTAAACCTAATATTTCTTCACCTTTGAAAACTTTAGAGATAACAAAGTATTATGATTATAGAAATTAATCATTTATAGACAATTTACTATAAATCTTACTTTATTTTAAAATTCTGTTGTAAACCTCACCCTTTATAAAAGGCAAGAAAAGTGTTTTTACACAATTACAAAGATTTCTCCTGTTTTTCAAATCCAGCAGAGTAAACACAAGTTAAGAAATTCTACTTCCAAAGGCCTGCTGACATTACTGATTATTGTCTTGCATTAACAAGGAAATACCTATTAGAGCAGCCTACTAAGACCAACAACAAATAGCTGGAGGGGAGGTACTTAATGGAAACAGTAACTTTTTAAAGACCCTATGACTTATCCCTGTTTGACACCAAAAAGAAATAAAAGATAATGTATCATATCTATATTTCTGGGAGATTAGTGTTTCAACTTGAAATTTCAGTGGGTAGTTCTGATAGACTATTAGGAAGTTCTGTGAGGAGATTTTAGTGGCCTCAAAGAATTGCTTTGTAGCATATTGAAACCTGTTAAGCACCTTCTGAATATGAATGTTCATTTTCTAACTCTTTTCTCGAATTTTAAGTTAGAAATGGATGACTTCTTCATAAGGATCATGCACTTGCTGAATGTTTTAATATCTGAATTTAGCAAAACCCAAAACACATTTGGCCAAAGCTGATTTTAAGTCATTTCTCAAATTTTATACATAGGCATAATTCAAAAGCAATTTATTTCATGTGTTGCTTCTGATTCATTTACATTTCACTTTTCTCATAAAAAGTTTATTTTATAAGAGTTTAGTTGTTGTCCAAAATACCAAAATACCTTATGAAATTTCGTTTTATAACATTTTGAAACACTCTTATTTTGAAGAGAGAAAGTTACTATAAAAACCTGTGCCTCCAAATTGGTAATTTGGTTTAAACTGACTCTACTCTAAGCAAAATATTTCCATACTCTCAATTATCTTTTCCTTAACATTTCTTATAACTATAGGGCCAGATATAGCTACAATGTAACTAAAAGATCTATATCACAATCACTGTAGCATTTACAAAATTATGTTCTGTGGAACACTAGTGTGTCAAGGGATTTTAAGAGGTATTCATGGGCAGAAAGTGGTTAGGGGTGGTAGTCAAATAAGAGTGGAAAATGCTGAGTTAAAATCAAACAGGATTGTTCACTACAAGGTTTCTCAGAACTTGTATGTCCAAAATGAATACTCAAGAGCAAGATACAGGCCAGGTGCAGTGGCTCACGCCTGTAATCCCAGTACTTCGGGAGGGATCGCTTGAGCAGGGGAGTTTCAGGGGCAGTGAGCTATGATTGCACCACTGCATTCTCTCCTGGGCAACACAGCAAGAATCTGCTTCAAAAAAAAAAAAAAAAAAAAAAAAACAGAGAGAGAGATAGGAAGCAATGTTTCTCAAACTTATTTAACACTGAAACTCTTAACAAAACTCTTAACTGTTGTAGGTCATTAATATTCTGTAAAAACAATAATCTGATCAATATGATCTCAAACACTAATGAGGTGATTTAATTTACTATCATCCACCTGCCACTGTCATTGAGATAATCTAGTTAACATTTTCAGGAAAGTGATACCCCAGGTATTTTTAAAGTACTCCTAGTTAAGAAAGAATTACTAATAACTCCATTTTAATACAATAGAAACAAGTTGGAAGTCTGAGTTTTGATTAATATAATGATAACCTGAGAGCCATATGGAAAATACTATCTAAGTCTAATTCACCAGGTTTTAGAGTAGGGTTTTTGAAAAAAAAAAAAAAAAAAAGCTGGCAACTATTAAATTTTTGGTGAATTAAAAGTATAATACACAGTCATTTCTTGATTATGACTTTAACATTTATTTCTTGAGACAGGGTCTTCCTCTGTCACCCAGGCTGGAGTGCAGCAGTGCCATCATGGTTCACTGCAACCTCAACCTCCTGGGCTCAAGTGATCCTCCCACCTCAGCCTCCCAAGTAGCTGGGACCACAAGCATGTACCACCACGCCTGGCTTATTTTTGTATTTTTTGTAGAGGGGGGGTTCTGCCATGTTACCTAGACTGGTCTCCAACTCCTGAGGTCAAGTGATCTGTCCACCTTGGCCTCCCAAAGTACTCGGATTATAGATGTGAACAACTGCACCTGGCCTGACTATAACATATTTAATTCTATATTGGTTTTTCCCTACCACTGAGCACATTTCATCTCTCCTTTTTTCCCTACCAAGCACCTGGCATATGTTCAGTAAATAAAAAGTAATTTAAGTATTAGCGTAATCAAGACATAATTTTGACATTGTCAAGCATGCTTGAGGGCAGTGGGCCCTCTGCTTTGCTTACAGCTGAGGCTTCTGAAGGCAAGGACCTCACGGACATGTATTTACATAATTGTAAGGTCATTCTACTGTGCTATAAAGTCACACAATACATTCCAAAGACCACTGGAAATTAATTTAGAATTATCTAATGTTTTATACCATGCATACTATTTCCTGCCTTCAATTATAAAGATAACTGAGAACAGTCTCTATTAAGAAATACACTATGTTTTAAAAACAATAAATTATACTATAATGTGAAATACTATAACTTTGTTAAAATTCATATTTTTAGCAGAAGTACAAAAAAAAACACTGTTACTCTTATGGAACATTAACAAAAATCTTAAACAGTTTGACAAGGACTTTCATTTTCACCTATAAAGGATTAACTATGAGAACTGCCTTCCAATCATAAATAACAGAAAACTGAATAAAATATATGAAACAATAGTTTTCAGACACTGGATAATAGAAGGAAAACAAACTAGCTGAGCCCTCTGATTGCCCCAGCTTATCACCCAGAAGCATTTTCCAGACTGCAGAGCAGAATCCACACAGAGCCCAGCAGTCACAGTGAGCTCAGGAGACAGAGACATGGATCTGGGTAAGCTGATACAACTAGAATTTGTGGAGATTATCAGACAGGAGGTAGCTAAATGGAAAGAGAACTCTGAAGATCTTACAGAAGGTCTTCTGTAATCTATGGCTGACTATTCATCTGCATATGCATAAAGTGAAACTCCTCAAGGCTGAGGAAAGAAACATCAGGAAGCAGTATACCAAATAATTTCCACAGTTCACATAGAGCTAAGAATTAATTCTCATTTGCCAGAGTGGAGAGGCCATATAGTACAGGAGGTATTTGTAGAGTTAGCAGTAAGGCTAACTTAGCCATAGGCTAAAGGCTGTTCTGGAACCCTTTAACAAAGCAAACAATGAAAGGATAAAACTGACCCCAAGTAATTTAAATGCATGCCAAAAAAAGTCCCACACACCTTAAAGGAATAAAACAAAACCCAGTACGCAACAACATAAAATTCATAATATCCAGCATCTGTTCAAAAAAAAATTACAAAGCAAGAAATATTACCCATAATCCAAAGAAAACACAATCAATAGAAACCTAGAGAAAAAGAAATAAATAGAATGACAAGAGAAGTAGAACTGGCAGAAAAGGACACTAAAACAACTATCATAAATATGTTCAAGAATGCAGTAGAAAACATGAACATGTTGAAGAAATAATGAAGATATTTTTAAAGATCTACTAGAAGTGAGAATTATAAAATATAAAATGAAAATTACATTGGATCATATAAACAACAGAATAAAAGTGGCAGAATACAAGATCAGTGAACTTAAATACATCAAAATAGAAGCTACCCAGAACAAAACACAAGTAGAAAAAGACCCCCCAAAATAGTCTCAGGTACCTGTACGACCATATCATGCAGACTAATATATATGTAACTGGAGTCCCAGAAAGAAAAGGACAAAGAAAAAAATATTTGAAAAAAATCACCATGGATTTTCTAAATTCTGTAAAAATAAATAAATAACAGATGCAAATCAGCTCAAGAAATTCTGAGCAGAATAAACCTGAAAAAAATCCACATATAATAACATCATAACATAATAATAATATCATAACATCATACCAAACCACAACATAATCAAACTTCTGGAAATGAGAAATAAAGAGAATATCTTAAAAGCAGCCAGAGAGCAGGAAAAAAAGACACATTTTGTGCAGAAGAATAAAATCAAGAATGATAGAAAACTTCTCATCAAAAACTAGGTAAGTCAAAAGACAATGGAGTGACATCTTTAAAGTACTGAAACAAAAAACAAATAAAAAAACACACGTTCTATACAGGAAAAAATATATCTTTTAAAAAATGAGGGCAAAATACAGACCTTTTCCAGACAGACAAATACTGAGAGAAATTGATGCTATCAGACTGGCACTACAAGAAATGTTAAAGTTCATCAGCAAGGATAAAAATTAAACCAGAAAGAAATATAACTCTACACAAAAAAGAAAAAAGTACCAGAAATGGTAAATATGTGAGTAAAAATAAATGTTTTCCTCATATTTTAATCTTTTTAAAAGATAAAGGTACTGGGTGCAGTGGCTCATGCCTATAATCTCAGCACTTTGAGAGGTCGAGGCAGGATTGCTTGAGCCCAGGAGTTTGAGACAAGCCTGGGCAATATGGCAAGACCTCATCCCTACTGAAAATCAGTATTTAAAAAATTAGCTAGGCATTGTGGCATGTGACTGTAGTCCCAGCTACTCAGGAGCCTGAGGTAGAAGGATCCCTTGAACCCAGGAGGTGGAGGCTGTAGTGAGACATGATTGCACCACTGCACTTCACTCCACTCCAGCCTGGCAACAGAGGGAAACCCTGTCTCATAAAAAGAAGATAAAATAAAAGAAAAAGATAAAGGAGATTACCCAAGGCAAAAGCAATTACAAGGTATTGTAAGCTTTTGTGATTTAATAAAAATATATTTAGTAAGCTTTTGTGATATAAAGAAATATATTTAGTCTCTGCCCTCAGTTCCTGAGACAGAACTCCTAAAACCTTTGCAGCTAGGAGTACTAGAAAAAACTTTTGATCTAATACTTGGTCTTTTACCCCAGTTTCTGCCACAGACCTCCTAAAACCTTTGTAATTTCCTAAGTGATAGTAGCATCTTTTGCTCTAACGAGGTAACTCTTGGCGGGCTCCTGAATAGCCTCAGAATGGGGACTGGTTGCCAGGGGAGCCAACCATGTGAATAGAAGGTTGGAACTTTTAGCTCTACCCTCAGATCTCCGGGGATGGGGAAAGGGGTTAAAAGTTGAGTTGATCACCAATGGCCAATGACTTAATCAATCATGCCTACATGATGAAACCTCCATAACAATCCCTGAAGTACAGGGTTCAGAGAGCTTCTGCACTGCTGAACACAGAAGTGCCTGGAGGGTGGTGCACCCTGAGAGGCCATGGAAGCTCTATGCCTCTTCCCACACACCTTGTCCTACACATCTCTTCCAACTGGCTGTTTATCTATATCCTTTGTAATATCCTCTATAATAAATATACCCATTTACTGAAGTAGAGTGTTTCCCTGAGTTTTGTAAGGCACTCCAACAAATTAATGAACCCAAGGATGGGGTCATGAGAACCACTGATTTACAGCTGGTTAGTCAAAAGTGCAAGTCACAACCTGGACTTGTGGCTGGCATCTGAAGTGAAGTGAGGTCTTGTGGTTCTGCCTCTTAACCTGTGACAATCCCCACACACAGTTTGATGACCACAAGTGAAATATTCAGCATTCTGTTAAATATATGAGAGGAGGAAAAAAAGTTTTATCTTTTTCTTTTAAAGATTCACAAAATATGAAGAAGTAAAATGTACGACACTAGCAACATTGTAAGATTCTTCCCCATATGTAAAGTTGTATGATATTATGTAAAGATAGACTGTGATAAGTTAAAGATGTGTGTTTTAAACCCCAGAGCAATCACTAGTAAATTAAAACAAAGAGGTATATGGTTAATAAGTCAACAGAAGAGAAGATGGGACAAATAGGAAAAAAAAGCAAGATAATAAATTTAAACTCAACCATACCAATAACAACATTAGAGACTGCCAGATCGGATTTAAAATGAAGGAAAAACAAAAAGGAATAGAGAAACTTACTTTAAACATAAAGACACAAATAGGTTAAAAGTAAAAAGTGCAAATAGATATACCATATAAATACGAATTAGAAGAAAGTTGGAGAGTATGTATTAATATCAGATGAGGTAGACTTCAGATCAAAGAATATTACTAGGGATCATATTAAGTAACACACACATATACAAACACAAAGGATCATCTCAAAAGACATAGAAAAAGCATTTTTTCTGGAAATGTAGTTTTAACTTATGAAAAAAATCAATGTAAAATTTACCATGTTAACTACACACACACGCACACACACACACACACACACACCTGAAAAGATGCAGAGAAAGCATCTGACAAAATCCAACACCTATTCATAATAAACCCTGAACAAACTAGGAATATAAAGGAACTTCCTCAAACTAACATTGAGGAACTGATGTCCTACATATGGAAAAAAGACTGAATGCTATCACCCTAAGACTAGGAACTAAGCAAGGACATATCCTCTAGCCACTTCTATTCAACATTGTACTGGAAATCCTAGAGAAAAAAATAATAACAGGCACACAGATTGGAAAGGAAATAATAAAACTGTCTTTTTGATAGCTGGCATGATTATTTATAATTATTTCAATGTAAGGAATCTACAAAAAAGTAAAACAGAAAACAACAACCTACCAAACTAATAAATGAGTTTGGCAAGGTCATATGATTCAAAGTCAATGTACAAAAATCAATTGTATTGCCATGTTCTAAGAACAAATAACTGGAAATTATAATTCAAAAGTCAATGCAATTTACAATAGCAACCAAAAAACTGGAAATAATTGGGAATAAATTTAACAAACTATGTAAAAGATCTGTACAATGAAAACTATAAAATGTTGCTGACAAACATTAAAGACATCCCACATACATGAAGAGATGTACTATGTTTATGGATCAGAAGATCCCATACTATTTAAAGATGTTAATTATCCTCAAGTTAATCTATAGATTTGATACCATTCCAGTAAAAATCCTAGTAAGCCTTTTTGTAGAAACTGGCATGCTTATTCTAAAATTTAAATGAAAATACAAAATAACTAGTACAACTCAAATAATTTTTTACATTTTTAATTTTTTTTTTTTTTAATAGAGAAAGAAAAGTGGGCCCAGGGAACCGGCGTTCAGCATATGGAGGACCCACGCCGGCACCGGTCTCTGAGTTCCCTCAGTATTTATTCATTAGTATCTCTACCATATCGGAGAGGGGGACAACAGGGAGACAATGGAGAGTGGCAGGACAACAGGGTAATAGTGGGGAGAGGGTCAGCAGGAAAACGTGAACAAACATCTCTACATCATAAACAAGGTAAAGAAAAAGGTGCTGTGCTTTTAATGTGCACATACATAAACATCTCAATGCTTTAAAGAGCACTATTGCCTATTGCCGCCAGCATGTCTCACCTCCAGCCCTAAGGCGGTTTTCTCCTATCTCCAGTAGATGGAATATACAATCGGGTTTTACACCCAGACATTCTATTGCCCAGGGACGAGCAGGAGACAGATGCCTTCCTCTTATCTCAACTGCAAAGAGGCCTTCCTCTTTTACTAATCCTCCTCAGCACAGACCCTTTACGGGTGTCGGGCTGGGGAACGGTCAGGTCTTTCCCTTCCCACGAGGCCATATTTCAGATTACCACATGGGGAGAAACCTTGGACAATACCTGGCTTTCCTAGGCAGAGGTCCCTGCAGCCTTCCACAGTGTTTTGTGTCCCCGGGTACTTGAGATTAGGGAGTGGTGATGACTTTTAACAAGCATGCTGCCTTCAAGCATTTGTTTAACAAAGCACATCCTGCATAGCCCTAAATCCACTAAACCTTGAGTCGTCACAGCACGTGTTTCTGCCAGCACAGGGTTAAGGGTAGGGTTACAGATTAACAGCATCTCGAGGCAAAATAATTTTTCTTAGTACAGAACAAAATGGAGTCTCTTATGTCTACTTCTTTCTACATAGACACAGTAACAGTCTGATCTCTCTTTCTCTTCCCCACATTTCCCCCTTTTCTTTTTGACAAAACCACCATTGTCATCATGGCTTGTCCTCGATGGTCGCTGTCTCTTTGGAGCTGCTAGGTACACCTGCACACACCGTTGATACAATCATCAAAGCTGCAAACAGCATGTTCTCTGAAGTTTGTGTCACCTTTGTGTTCTCTAGGCTTTTTTTTTTTAGCTAACTCTGTCAGCTTCTTTAATTGTGCCCAAGTCGGTGGCTCTGCCTTCTTGGTGGATGGCAACTTCATCTGTTCTGACATCACCATTCTATTCATCTTGTGAGTCGATGGTGCTCAACTGCGGTGTCTCCATCTCCATGGAGGTGCTTTTCTTTGCATCTCTGATGGGTTCATTGTACAACTTCAAATATCGCAAGGCTGACTGTAGACATACTCGGGAATCTCTCGTTAACTTGTCCTCAGTGACGACGCTTGAGCGTACCTTCACCCTAGAGAAAAGCACCCACGTTGGGCACCAAATGAAGGGGTGGCCAGCCCCTCCACACCTGTGGGCATTTCTCATCAGGTGAAATGAAAGACATGAGGAAAGAAAGAGACACAAAGTATAGAGAAAGAAAAGTGGGCCCAGGGGACCGGCGCTCAGCATACAGAGGACCCGCGCTGGCCACATTTTTAATTTTTAAAGGAATTTTTCAAATTTCAAAATAAATTTTGAGAAAAAAATTGGAGGACTTAAAGCCATCTGATTTCAGTACTTAAACTATCATAACCAATATGATGTGATACTGGCTTAAAGAAATACCTAAGTTAATGGTACAGAATAGCACTGAAAATACACTTGTGATCAACTGATTTTCAACAAATGTACAAATGCACAATTAGTAGGGAAAAAGTGGTGTCTTTAAAAAAGAGAACAAGAAGAACTAGACATCCACCTTTTATAGTGTAAGATAAGCATATAATGAAATTATATAAAAATTCATTCAAAATGTATCATAGATTTAAATATAAGAGTAGAAAGTATAAAACTCCCAGAAGAAAATATATGAGGAAATATTTGTGACTTAGAGTTAAATTCTAATAAGACACAAAAGCCATAAAACAAAAAACCAAAAATAAGAAAACTGCCTTTCACTAAAGTAAAAACTTTTGTTTTTCAAAAAACCGTTAAGAAAACAAAAGCACAGGCCGGGCGCAGTGGCTCATGCCTGTAATCCCAGTACTTTGGGAGGCCGAGGAGAGTGGATCACTTGAGGTCAGGAGTTTGAGACCAGCCTGGCCAACATGGTGAAACCCCATCTCTACTAAAAATACAAAAAAATTAGCTGGGTATGGTGGCGCATACCTGTAATCCCAGCTACTCGGGAGGCTGAGACAAGAGAATCGCTTGAACACAGGAGGCAAAGGTTGCAGTGAGCCGAGATCACACCATTGCACTCCAGCCTGAGCGACAGAGTGAGACTTCATCTCAAAAAAGAAAAAAAAAGAAAATAAAAAGGCACACCACAGAGTGGGAGAAAATATTTGCAAAAGATGTATCTGATAAATGACTTCGGACTCGTATCCATAATATATGAGTCCTTACAACTCAAAAATAAGACAATAACTCAATTTTTTAAAATAGACAAGCTTTAAAGCTTATCTATTTTAAATATCTGAAATATTCAGATATTTCAGATAATTCAATATTTGAAATATTCAATATTTGAAATATTCAAATATCTGAAATATTCAGATATTTATCCAAAAAAGAGATATACAAGAAAATAAGCGCATGAAAACATGCTCAATATCATTATTCATTAGAAAAATGCCAATTAAAACTACAATGAGATATAACTAGTCATAATATATCCACTAAAGAGACTACAATTAAAATATTAATACCAAATGATAAGACTTTGAGGCAACTGAACTTTCATACATCGCTGGTAGAAATGTGGCATATACAACCATTAATAAAATAGTTTGTTTATTTAAAATTGGTGAACTTTATTTTATGTAATTTATACCTCAGTAAAGCTGAGTTTTAGAAGTTGACTTGACAAAACATTTTTAAATTAGTAAAATAAAATCCTGATAATACCTTGTAATAGTTTAACATTTTTTAAATACTAGCCAATCTTTTCCCCTAATTGTCCTTAGATTCGTCATCCATGCAACCAGCAGAAAGCCTCATACTGTCTCAGAAAAGGAGTGACAGTAGAAAGCAGAAGTAAGGAGTCTTTTTCTTGACCCATGAATTTCAAAATCCTGGGCCTATCTTCTGAGTGGAAAGGACTCAGAACTACACTTATAACAGCCAGGCAGGTGAAAAGGGAATGTGGGAACTGGAGTAAGGAAACCCTACAAGGAGCCACTATGAAGCTCCAGCTGATTCTACCATATGAAAATGCTGCAAGATTGTTTTTTACCCAAAAAGTATCCTGAAAATTCAAATTTTTATGTGAATTTTCCAAAATTTTAAAATACTGTCCAAACAAAATCACTTCTGTGGGTCAAATTCAGTCCATCGATTTGCAATACCTGGCATGGAAGACAGATTTTGGCAAACATCTTTAAAAAAAAAATTTCTCACCCTCCAGACTTGATGAAAACGCCCTGGAATGAGGATAAGAAGATGCAAAGAAACAACTGATATAGACATTATTCTTGCAAGAGAACAGAGAAATCTGTGTCCCATTTCTTAGGTACAGACTCAGGAAGGCAGAAAGATACCACAGAAGAAATGGATGGATAATATGTGGGGCAAAGTATTAGCCTTATAGAGTTTCCCAGACCCCACGCAGCACCGGGAAGGCTTAAACAAATGGCAGTCTCAGGGAGTTCTCCACATTTTAGAGTAGTCTGAGGACCACAGAAAGAATATAATGCAATTAATAGCATGGAAGTTACAGAAAGAGTTGCTTTACCAGATAAAAACTTGTCAATGAGAATGATGAGTCAGCAGCAACCTGTGATGATCAACTACTACAGAAATAAAATGAAGGACAACATTTCTACAGATGCCACCACTCACCACCATGAAAAGATGAAGACAACTAGTACAACCCACTACTCTCACCCAAGAATTATCAGAGCACCAGGAAAGTGAGGCCTCTAATTGACATTAAAATTTCAGCCACCCAAAGGACATGAACAGACACTTATCAGAAGACATACATGCAGCCAACAAACACATGAAAAAAAAATGTTCAACATCACTGATCATTAGAGAAATGAAAATCAAAACCACAGTGAGGTACCATCTCACACCAGTCAGAATGACTATTATTAAAAAGTCAAAAAACAACACATGCTGGTGAGGTTGTGGAGAAAAAGGAACACTTTTACACTGTTGGTGGGAGTGTAAATTAGTTTGACCACTGTGGAAGACAGTGTGGCAATACCTCAAAGACCTAGAGGCAGAACTACCATTCAACCCAGCAGTCCCATTACTGGGTATATACCCAAAGGAATATAAAGCACTCTGTTATAAAGATACATGCATGCATATGTTCATTGCAGCACTTTTCACAATAGCAAAGACATGCAATCAACCCAAATGCCCATCAATGATAGACTGGATAAACAAAATGTGGTACATATACACCATGGAATACTATGCAGCCATAAAAAGGAACGAGATCATGTCCTTTGCAAGACATGGATGGAGCTGGAAGCCATAATCTTCCACAAACTAACAGAGGAACACAAATCCAAATACCACATGTTCTCACTTATAAGTGGGAGCTAAATGATGAACACATGGACACATTGACAGGAACAACACATACTGGGGATTGTCAGAGGGTGGGATATGGGAGGAGGGAGAGCATCAGGAAGAACAGCTAATGGATGCTGAGCTTAATACTGAGATGATGGGATGATCTGTGCAGCAAACCACCATGGCACATGTTTACCTATGTAACAAACCTACCTATTTTGCACATATTCCCCTGAACTTAAAATAAAAGTGGGAAATTAAAAAAAAATTCAGTCACCTGGGAAGAACAGGGGCTCAAAATAGAAACTGAGTTACAAAAAAAATAAGAAAAAGTATAATCCTTGAACATCTGATGTTGTAGAGTGAGATGTAGTTCTACAGACTGCTGTATTACCTTCAAAGCAAAGAGGTTCTCAAAGGAACATGGAAGCATTTTATTTTATTTATTTTTTAGATTAATTATGCCAAATAAATATTGGATTTTTAAATATGCACTACAGATGGGCCACCAAAGCACAACACTTTGAATAACTACTACTTAACGGACTATAGAAGTAGGCTCTTCTGATGACATCTATAATAATTTTACTAGACAAGCTGAGTTACTAAACACAGTTTTTCAGTTTCCCAAACCCATTTGTAGGTAATAAATTATCTATGACAAGTCTAGATGATTAGTAACACTGGCCAAAATGAGTAAAACTTACTCATTCTGCAACTATTTAAACAAGTTCAATAACAATACCACCAAAATCCACTGGTTTGCATTGGGGAAAGTGTTGGTGTGAGGCATTAACAGAGAAAGCAAAGAAATTAGCACAAAATATGTATGTATGTGTATATGTGAAAAATTGTATTTTCTAATTTTTCTAAAATGACCAATGATATGGTTTGGCTGTGTCCCCACCCAAATCTCATCTTGAATTGTAACCCCCACAATTCCCACATGTCATGGGAGGAACCTGGTGGGAGGTGATTGAGTTATGGGGGCAGGTCTTTCCCAAGCTGTTCTTGTGATAGTAAGTCTCACGAGATCTGATGGTTTTTAAAATGGGGAGTTTCGCTGCACAAGCTCTCTTCTCTTGTCCACCACCATGTGAGATGTGCCTTTTACCCTCCACCATGATTGTGAGGTTTCCACAGCCATGTGGAACTGTGAGTCCATTAAACTTGTTTTTCTTTATAAATTATGCAGTCTTTAGTATGTCTTTATTATCAGCATGAAAATAGAATAATATAGTAAATTGTACCAGTAGAGTGGGGTGCTGCTGTAAAGATACCCAAAAATGTGAAGGCAACTTTGGAACTGGGTAACCGGCAGAAGTTGGGACAGTTTGGAGGGTTCAAGAGAAGACAAAAAAATGTGGAAAAGTTTGAAACTTCCTAGAGATTTGTTGAATGGCTCTGACAAAAATGCTGATAATGATATGGACAATGAAATCCAGGCATGGTCTCAGATGGAGATGAGCAACTTGTTGGGAACTGGAGTAAAGGTGACCCTTGCTATATTTTAGCAAAGAGACTGGTGGCATTTAGCCACTGCCACCAGATTTGTAGAACTTTGAACTTGAGGGGGATGATTTAGGGTATCTGGCAGAAGAAATTTCTAAGCAGCAAAACATTCTAAAGGTGACTTCGGTGCTGTTAAAAGCATTCAGTTTTAAAAGGGAAACAGAGCACATAAGTTCAGAAAATTTGCAACCTGATGACATGATAGAAAAGAAAACCCCATTTTCTGAGGAGAAATTCAAGCCAGCTGCAGAAATTTCCATAAATAATGAGGAGCCAAATGTTAATTGCCAAGATAATGGGGAAAATGTCTCCAGGCCATGTCAGAGACCTTTGCGGCAGCCCCACCCATCACAGGCCCAGAGACCTAGGAGGAAAAAATGGTTTCATGGGCCATGCACAGGGCCCCCCTGCTGTATGCCACCTAGGGAATTGGTGCCCTGTGTTCCAGCCACTCTAGCCATGGTTAAAAGGGACCAAGGTATAGCTCAGGCCATGGCTTCAGAGGGTGAAAGCCCTGAGCCTTGGCAACTTCCACATGATGTTGAACCTGTGGGTACACAGAAGTAAAGAACTGAGGTTTGGAAACCTTCACCTAGATTTCAGAGGATGTGTGGAAATGCCCGGATGTCCAGGCAGAAGTTTGCTGTGAGGTGGGGCCCTCATGGAGAACCTCTGCTTGGGCAGTGTGGAAGGGAAATGTGGGGTTGAAGCCCCCACAGAGAGTCCCCACTGGGGCACTGCCTAGTGGAGCTGTGAGAAGAGGCCATCATCCTCCAGGCCCCAGAGTGGTAGATCCACCGACAGCTTGCACCATGTGCCTGGAAAAGCTACAGACACTGAATGCCAGCCCATGAAAGCAGCCAGGAGGGGGCCTGTACCCTGTAAAGCCACAGGGGTGGAACTGCCCAAGACCATGGGAACCCACTCTTGCATCAGCATGACCTGAATGCAAGACATGGAGTCAAAGGAGATCATTTTGGAGCTTTAAGACTTGACTGCCCTGCTGGATTTCAGACTTGCATGTGGTCTTTAGCCCCTTTGTTTCGGCCAATTTCTCCCATTTGGAATGGGTCTATTTTCCCAATGCTGGTACCCCCATTGGATCTAGAAAGTAACTAACTTGCTTTTGATTTTACAGGCTCATAGGCAGAAGGGACTTGCCTTGTCTCAGATGAGACTTTAAATGGTGGACTTTTGAGTTAGTGCTGAAATGAGTTAAGACTTTGGGAGACTGTTGGGAAGGCATGATTGGTTTTGAAAAGTGAAGATGTGAGATTTCGGAGGGGCCAGAGGTGGAATGATATGGTTTGGCTGTGTCCCCACCCAAATCTCATCTTGAATTGTAACTCCCACAATTTCAACATATCATGGGAGGAACCTGGTAGGGGGTGATTGAATTATGGTGGCAGGTCTTTCCATGCTGTTCTCATGATACTGAATAAGTCTCAAGAGATCTGATGGTTTTAAAAAGGGGAGTTTCACTGCACAAGCTCTCTTTTCCTGTCTGCTGCCATGTGAGATGTGCCTTTTACCTTCAGCCATGATTAACTGTGAGTCCATTAAATGTCTTTCTTTTCTAAATTGCCCAGTCTTGGGTATGTCTTTATCAGCAGCATGAAAACGGACTAATACAACCACAAAGCCCTTTATTTACTAGAAAATTAGAAAATGTGTTTTAAAATAGATGTTTTCAATTACCCTTCTAATATAGTCTTAGAAATTTAACAGCACATGATTAAATTTGATTAAGAGTTTTTTAAGTATTTTAAAATCATGTGATTAACAGCACATGATTAAATATGATTAAGAACCATATCTACAATGTTGCAATTACCTAAGAATTCAGGCAAAGAACCTATTTTAGTAGGAATATTCAGATAACTAATCAAGTACTTGAAGTAGCTATGGCCCAATAGGGCCTCTGAGCTTCAGGTTTTTTTCTCCTGAAAACGGAAACAAATATTCATGCAGCCTAACATTTGCAAAAACATCTAGCAGCACCTGATACATAAGCCCACAAAACAATATTTACTGAATTGGCCAACATTTACTTCCACTCAACATCACTGATGTTGGCCTTTGAAAGAACAAATCAATGAGAAATTGCTAGGAAAAGTCACCTATTCCATCATGGTTCTGCAGTACTCTTCCAAAGGTAAAACAGACCTTCAGTAGTATCATCTAGCGCAAGCTGTTCCTGAATAACCATCTCCCATTCCTACAGTGGTATTTATATTAATAAATGCTACTGCATACCTGCCTAAGAATTCTCCTGACACCTTGCAGCTTTGCTGCAAAAGCCAAAATAGAAAAATGGGATCTAATTAAACTAAAGAGTTTCTGCACAGCAAAAGAAATTATCATCAGAGTGAACATGCAACCTACAGAATGGGAGAAAATTTTTGCAATCTACTCACCTGTCAAAGGGCTAATATCCAGAATCTACAAAGAACTTAAACAACTTTACAAGAAAAAAACAAACAACCCCATTAAAAAGTGGGCAAAGGATATGAACAGACACTTCTCAAAAGAAGACATTTATGCAGCCAACAGACACATCAAAAAATGCTCATGATCACTGGTCATCAAAGAAATGCAAATCAAAACCACAATGAGATACCATCTCATGCCAGTTAGAATGGCGATCATTAAAAAGTCAGGAAACAACAGATGCTGGAGAGGATGTGGAGAAATAGGAGTGTTTTACACTGTTGGTGGGAGTGTAAATTAGTTCAACTATTGTGGAAGACAGTGTGGCAATTCCTCAAGGATCTAGAATTAGAAATACCATTTGACCCAGCCATCCCATTACTGGGTATATACCCAAAGGATTATAAATCATGCTGCTATAAAGACACATGCACGTGTATGTTTATTGCAGCACTATTCACAATAGCAAAGACTTGGAACCAACCCAAATGCCATCAATGATAGACTGGATTAAGAAAATGTGACACATATACAACATGGAATACTATGCAGCCATAAAAAAGGATGAGTTCATGTCCTTTGCAGGGACATGGATGAAGCTGGAAACCATCATTCCCAGCAAACTATCACAAGAATAGAAAACCAAACACTGCATGTTCTCACTTATAGGTGGGAACTGAACATTGAGAACACTTGGACACAGGAAGGGGAACATCACACATGGGGGCCTGTTGTGGGGTGGGGGGTTGGGGGAGGGTTAGCATTAGGAGAAATGCCTAATGTAAATGACGAGTTGATGGGTGCAGCAAACCAACATGGCACATGTATACATATGTAACAAACCTGCACGTTGTGCACATGTACCCTAGAACTTAAAAGTATAATTAAAAAAAAAAAGATTGTTACTAGCTAGAGGAAGCTAGGAGGGATGGAAGCAAAAGAGAGGTCAACCCTCAGATGGTTGAGGCCTTCGCAACAGAATGAAGACAATCTTTTCTCATTCCACCCATTCTTTTTTCTCATCTTCCTTCCTCTCATGTTTCCTCCAATAATATCCACCCACTTTTGCCATCTCTTTTCCTCCTCCTCTTTTGCTTCCACTGCCATAATTTTTTTAATCACATACTGCCCTCAAAGAATTCTTTTTTTTTTTTTTCTTGAGACATGGTCTCGCTCTGTCACCCAGGCACTGGAGTGCAGTGGCGCACTCAATCTCAGCTCATTGCAACCTCCACCTCCTGGGTTCAAGAGATTGTCCTGCCTCAGCCTTCCAAGTCGCTGGGACTAAAGGCGCCCACCACCACGCCTGGCTAATTTTTTATATTTTTAGTAGAGACAGGGTTTCACCATGTTGGCCAGGCTAGTCCCAAACTCCTGACCTGAAGTGACCCGCCCACCTCAGCCTCCCAAAGTGCTGGGATTACAGGTGTGAGCCACCACACCCAACCTAGAATTCCTTTGCTATTAATCAGTAGCCTCAGTAAAAGACAAGTTCTCTATTAAGAAACTGTTAAGAGTAGATCTGATATTCCTTTACATGTCAAAAAGAACATTGACATCATCCACACTATCAAGTACTCATTATGAAGGCAACAGAATGAAACAAACAATCATAAAGCCATTCTCTTTCACCTCCTACATCAGGAATACTGAATGCTTTGGGGCTTCATCTGATTAAAGTTTCTTCTTTTCCTTCTCCAGAATATCCCTTTTTTGGGGGGGGGGGGGGTGGACGGAGTCTCACTGTGGTGCCCAGGCTGGAGTGTAGTGGCACAATCTCAGCTCTCTGCAAACTCCACCTCAGAGGTTCAAGAGATTCTCCTGCCTCAGCCTCTCAAGCAGCTGGGATTACAGGCGCCTGCCACCATGCCTGGATAATTTTCTGTAGTTTTAGTAGAGATGCAGTTTCACCACATTGGCCAGGCTGGTCTTGAACTCTTGACCTCAAGTGATCCATCCGCCTTGGCCTCCCAAAGTGCTCCAGAATATATCAATATCGTGAAAATGTCCATATTGCCCAAAGTAATTTATAAATTCAGTGTTATTCCCATGAAACTACCATTGACATTCTTCACAGAATTAGAAAAAAACTCATATGATGCAGGGGTTTTCCTCATCACCCCTTCCAGTTTTTATGGCCAAGTTCATCCCAGAGAAGACTTGTATCATTGAACTATGCCATTCACTCTTCAATTTTCCAAGGCATCCTCTCCTCATTTTTAGCACCCTTTTCTAAGGCCCTCATACTTCTTAGCTTCCCAGGAACCACCCCACACATAAATTTGTCTCTCTAAGCCTTGCCCTCATCAGGCCAGTGCTCCGTTCAGTTGATTTGACTTTAAGTCCCAACTACTGCCATCAAAATGTTATCTGTTTCGTGTTCTACTATTTCAGTTTCCTCATCTCAAATAACTATTCTGCTAAACAAATTCAATATTCTGGTAGAATCCTTTGTTAGATAACAATTTAAGGATCAGCCAACAGATAATTCTTTTTTATTATTATACTTTAAGTTCTAGGGTACATGTGTACAATGTGCAGGTTTGTTACATAGGTATACATGTGCCATGTTGGTTTGCTGCACCCATTAACTCGTCATTTATATTAGGTATTTCCCCTAATGCTATGCCCTGACAGGCCCCGGCATATGGTGTTTCCTGCCCTGTGTCCATGTGTTCTTATTGTTCAACTCCCACCTATGAGTGAGAACATGCAGTGTTTGGTTTTCTGTCCTTGTGATAGTTTGCTGAGAATGGTGGTTTCCAGCTTCATCCATGTCCCTGCAAAGGACATGAACTCATTTTTTATGGCTGCATAGTATTCCATGGTGTATATGTGTCACATTTTC
Organism: Homo sapiens; assembly: GCF_000001405.40. Taxonomy (NCBI): domain Eukaryota; kingdom Metazoa; phylum Chordata; class Mammalia; order Primates; family Hominidae; genus Homo; species Homo sapiens. Next base: position 93,468,038 of record NC_000005.10, read on the forward strand.
TTAATCCAGTCTATCATTGATGGACATTTGGGTTGGTTCCAAGTCTTTGCTATTGTGAATAGTGCCGCAATAAACATACACGTGCATGTGTCTTTATAGCAGCATGATTTATAATCCTTTGGGTATATACCCAGTAATGGGATGGCTGGGTCAAATGGTATTTCTAGTTCTAGATCCTTGAGGAATTGCCACACTGTCTTCCACAATGGTTGAACTAATTTACACTCCCACCAACAGTGTAAAAGCACTATTTCTCCACATGCTCTCCAGCATGTTGTTTCCTGACTTTTTAATGATCGCCATTCTAACTGGCATGAGATGGTATCTCATTGTGGTTTTGATTTGCATTTCTCTGATGACCAGTGATCATGAGCATTTTTTGATGTGTCTGTTGGCTGCATAAATGTCTTCTTTTGAGAAGTGTCTGTTCATATCCTTTGCCCACTTTTTGATGGGGTTGTTTTTTTCTTGTAAAGTTGTTTAAGTTCCTTGTAGATTCTGGATATTAGCCCTTTGACAGATGAGTAGATTGCAAAAATTTTCTACCATTCTGTAGGTTGTCTGTTCACTCTGATGATAGTTTATTTTGCTGTGCAGAAGCTCTTTAGTTTAATTAGATCCCGTTTGTCTATTTTGGCTTTTGTTGCCATTGCTTTTGGTGTTTTAGTCATGAAGTCTTTGCCCATGCCTATGTCCTGAATGGTATTGCCTAGGTTTTCTTCTAGGGTTTTTATGGTGTTAGGTCTTACATTTAAGTCTTTAATCCATCTTGAGTTAATTTTTGTATAAGGTGTAAGGAAGGGATCCAGTTTCAGCTTTCTACATATGGCTAGCCAGTTTTCCCAGCACCATTTATTAAGCAGGGAATCCTTTCCCCATTGCTTGTTTTTCTCAGGTTTGTCAAAGATCAGATGATTGTAGATGTGTGGTGTTATTTCTGAGGCCTCTGTTCTGTTCCACTGATGTATATGTCACCAACAGATAATTCTTTAACCCAAAGGAATGCTTAACAGGGCTTTTTTGGCTCATTGGTAAAGATATTTGTGGAAAAGCTTATTTTTGATACTCTCTAAATTATAGTCATTTGAGTTGCTTAATGATGGGGATATGTATTGAGAAATGTATCATTAGGTGGTTTCGTCATTGTGTGACCATCGTGGGGTGTACTTACACAAACCTACAGGGTACAGCCTACTACAAACCTAGGATATATGGTATGGCCTATTGTAGGCTACAAACCCATAGAACATGTAACTGTACTTAATACTGTAAGAAATCTTAATGCAATGGTATCTGTGTATCTAAATATATCTAAACATAGAAAAGGTTCATTAATACTAAGGTATTATAATCTTATGGGACCACCATCCTCTATGTGGTCCATCATTGACTGAAACATCACGCAGTGCATTACCTTACCTAACAAAAGCAAATTATATTCTGTGTATACAGAGAACCCGGTCATAGGAAAAACCAACTAAAGCTCAGTAAACAATCACAGTATTAACAGAACCTCTGTGTAGGAAAAGACCTTGAAGTTTATCTAGTTTGTAAGTTTTCTTAGGCTAGAAACCAGATTATTTATCTTCCACAACAGCTTGCACCATGCCTTCCTTGCACACAGTAAATACTCAAGAAATACATGTTGAATCAATAGATACTTGAACCTCTATCTGATGCATAAATCTCCTCTAGATTTTTCCCTATTCCCTACATCCACACTCCCTGTCAGTTATTGTGGATATAGCTAGCACAGTAGCAGTTCTAAGACCGAAGGCTGTTAATATCAATGCAAAAGGGTGACTATAGATATTTGACTCTCCCTAACCCTCATTAAAGCTATGCCTTCAGTGACATATATTTAATAGAAAATGTGACAAGTGCAAAATATAACAACTGTTTATAGTATTAGTACAACATATTTATCAAAAGTAAAGGAATCAGTTCAAATTGTGGTTAGCAGTCTAATCTGACTTAAAACAAGATACATCTTCCAAAAGCATTCATATTCTGAAAATAACTCATAGCCACAAAAGGTAAATATTTACAGGACAGAAATCTAGAACAATAGTAATAGCAGAAAACTTTTCTGCTTTTTATTTTTACCAACTTGATGTTAATGAAATATAACATTGCCATCAGCATAATACAATAAACATGAAAGGGTACCTAATATACTTAGAAATTATGGAAATCCCAAATAATGACAGCAAAAACAAAAATTATGTTTTTACTTTTCCTTTCATATGTCTTTTGTGTTAGTTTGAGAGCATATGACCTTGTTATCTACATACTATAATAAAAAATTGTTAGTGTGCCTAGATGCAGGCATTAAAAATAACTAAACAAAATCATATTTCTCTGTGACTAATAAAAGACCCATTGCACAGGACCCAGTTCTCATCTTTCTATGTTGGAAGCTGTACTAAATGCAGCTAACCAAGAGAAAAATATCTAAACAACTCTCAGAAGTAGCATATCTATATATATATATATTACATCTTTGTTGAAATCTCAAATCTTACATTATCTAAAGATTTGAATCACCTTTAAAACGGTATTTATGAAAATTCTAATCTCCTATCATGTTTACTTGTCCTGTAAGTGGATATATCACTCCTAGTAACATGCCTGTGTCTGACACTACTCATATAGATGAAAGCATACAGTCATTTTAGGGATTAACAGAAAAACAGACATTTGCATGGAACATTTCCCTTATTAGATATTATCATGTTAGCATATTTTTACTATTTCTGATTTTACTACAAAATAAAATGAGTTTACTTTTACCCTTAAGTTTTTCTGTAATGTATATTGCCGATAATACAAATACTTTAATTGCTCATTAGAAAAATCTCATTTTACTCTAAAAATTGCCATAGAAATTAGCCCTGAAGAGAACTTATAACACATACAAAAATCAAGATATGACTATGTCAAACTGGTATACTAGTTTCCATTTATACCAAATTTTACTTTTAAACATTACTTTAAAAGTTAAAGATATATTTTTGAAAATCCCAGGCTAGATCACATAGTCATTAGAATGTTATTTGGCCTCTTTCTAAATTAGTGCCAAAATGAATCAATTAGACAAGAATCAATTAGCAAAAAACTATATACTGATCAACTGACTTAACAACTAGCCAAACTGTATATTCAAAAAGCCATCCATTCTTCTGTCCGAAAGTCTCATTTGGGGTGGGCAGAAGTATGCATTGGCACTTTTCTGGAAAGCAATTTGGTAAGATATGTTGTGTTAATGTTCATTCTCTCTGACCAGTAATTCTACTCCTAAGAATTATCCTAAGGCAATATTCAGAAATGCAACAAAGTTTTATGTATAAAGACGTGCATTCCAACATTATTTACTGGACAAGGAAAAATATCCAAACATCAAAAAGAGTTTAATTTTTTAAAAATGAATGCAATGCAGCCATTTAAATCACAATATGAATAGAATATAATAACCTAATAAAATTTTCAGAAAATGTATATAAAATATATGAAAAATTTCTGTAGTAATTACACCTTTGGTTACAGGTGATAACTTACATTTTTCATATTTTTAGGAGTTTATAAGACTGCTATTCAAGAATAATTGAATTTTTTACACTGAACTAGTATAAACAAAGATTGTTAGAAGCCATTTTAATGAGTGATAGTCGTATTGTATTTCACATGCACAGTAAAGAAAGAACTGTTGGTCATAAGTTGATGACTGTAATCAGCTGGCTCCTTCTGAAGCACCATGGACAATGGTAAAGGTTCCCCGGTTAATAATTATCAATAATCAAATTAGGAGAGCATTTATGTTAACAATTTGTATTTCCATCAAAGGTGAACTTATTTAACCAATAGCTGCGTATCTCACTAGGGACAGTTAATACAACAAAACCGCTTGAAAAAGGTATAGAACCAATATTCATTTATTGAGTATGTAACAAGTACAATCTAAACCCTTTATTTCATTTAATCCTTACAGTACTATACAGTATGTATTATTATCCATTTTCAGAGGAGGGAACTGAAGCTCAGAGAGATTAGATAACTTATATAAGTTCACAAAGCTGGTAAATAGTGTTGCTATAATTTGAACCCAGCCTTTTCATATGCAGAATCCTTAATGATATCAATGAAGGAAATTACACTGTAATGATGAGATTGTTCGGCTTGCATAAGATAATGAACTTGAAAATATTTCAACTGTAAAGCATTAAATAAATAATTTTGAAAAGACAATCATGAATTTGCTGATCATTAATAGTTTTTGACAGAGTCCACATAATTAAGTTAAGAGAAAGACAAATGTTTTAATTAATGTTCAACAAGATAATGCCTAATATCTTGTGCCAGGAAATAGTAGGTGTGCAATAAATACTTGTGTTATTGAACCAAATTAACTTGATACTGACTAAAATAAAAATAGAAATATGTAAATATCTCTTAGCTACTCTCCATAAGCTACATGAATATACTCTCACTCAAGATATAAAAAATTAAATTTGCTAAATGATTATACATATATGTAAAATATTTAATTGACATTTCAGACTACTAATCATTAGGTAGAAAAATCTGTGGGTTGTTTTTGGGGGTGAAGAGATATTCACATATATACAAAAAAAACAGAAATCACACACACAGAGTGGTACATTTAGTACCTAAGCAAACCAACACTATATTGAATAAAAATCTAGAATGGATAAAATAATTAAGAATGTTTCCATTTTAACTCTGAAAATGTAATAATTAAAATTTTTAATCTGAACATTACCTTCCCTTTAAACAAAGCATTCCAGTGATATCTAAAAATTTCCTATTTTGGATATTTGAAATAATAGCTCCTAATCATTTAAATAACCTGCTAAAATGCTGTTAAATCAAAATTAAATGCCTGTTGTTTTGATTTAAACATGACCTGAACAATTTTTGCCTATTTTTACCAATATATAAAACATATACCACCTATACCATTAAGATGATTAAACCAAGTTAAGGCCCATGTGTCATGTAAATTTCCAAAGTTCAAATATTTTTGTTGCTGCCAAATGCAGCAAGGGTGGGCTTTTCCTTGCTATTATTTAGTTTACAGTTTAAATTGCTACAGACAATCAAGGAACAAATTGGGAATAAAAACAATATGTTACTGATGCACCAAGAAAAATGAACAGATATGGATACTGTCAGATAAATGCACTAAAATCTGCCATATATAAGGTAAACCAGAGTTTCTTTCTGAGTAATAAAGATATGAATTATTCTTTTCTGCCAATATATTCTGTTGATCTTTAGCGATAGAATAAATTAATTCTAAAATATTTTTATCTAAAAATACTTACAGTTCACTCTTACCTACTTAATCAGTATTGTCATCCCAAGGGAAAATATTAAATATACAGAGGTTTCTTTGGAAGCCTCCCGTTGCCTCACAAGTATATAATTAGTTACATTCCCCACACACTTTTTCCTACTCCAAGATTTCAATTATTATTAATGATTAAGTTAACTGAAGTTGGTATCCCCTTTCCCATCTGCCAGGCTTATTTGAGGTTTTAATATACCCTTAAATATATATATTATATATATAAAGTATGCTTCAATATATATATTGAAGAATGCTATAGTATATTCCTAAAGACCAAACACACACACACACATACACACACACACTCAAATCCCTTTTTGAGATACAAAGGAATTGAGACTATCCCACAGAACAACAGACTCTGGTTGATATTCTGGAAAGTAGACCTTGCTTAGCCACTATTCAAATTTAAATAGTGGCACAGCATAGATAACCTACTCATGGATACTTGAGAAATTAATTAGCAACTCTCCAAGATCATTTATATAATTTGCTTTGAGTTCAAATGAAACTAGCTTATAAAAATATCAGTATCCTTTATGTCTTCTTTGTAAATAATTATAAATTATAGAATTTAGATTAATAAACAGAGCTAAAAGATAAATTAAAACTATATTATTATTACTTGATATTATTAACCAGAACATAATTATAAATAAAGCGGAAAGGATTAACTAAATCAGTTGAGTTAAACTTATAACACAAAATTTATCTCCTCTAATGTTTCAATAATTATATTTTTCAGGCACTTTGTATACAAAATTGTCAATCTTATCACATGTATTACTGTACAAGATTTGTTAAGATGACCAAATTTTAATCGATTTAGAAAGTAAAAAAGGCTTAAGAAAAAGAATTGTATAGTAATTCTAATAACATGTCAATAACTTGTCACAGTTACTTGCTCAGGTTCATCTTACCCACTGTTAGATTCCCAGAACCAAGTATACTGCCTATAACAGTACAATACTCAATAATATTAAATTGAAGTTACATCTTTCAGCAGGCTGTACCAAAATTATTTTTTAAGAATGTCTTAGTCCATTCAGGCTGCTATAACAGAATACCATAGGCTAGATGGCTTATAAGCAACAGAAACTTACTTCTTACAGCTCTGGAGGCTGGGAAGTCTAAGATCGAGGAACTAACAGATCCAGTGCCTGGTGAGGGCCTGCTTCCTAACTCATAGATGGGTGTCTACTTATTCGTTGTCTTCACATGACAGAAGGGGCAAAGCAGTTCTCTTGGGGTGTATTTTTATAATGGCACTAATACCATTCATGAGGGCTCCTATGACCTAATCTCCCTACCCTAATCATGACTCTCATGACTTAATTACCTGCTAAAGGCCAAGCCAATACATTGGAGATTAGGTTTCAACATACAAATTTGGGGAGAACATAGACATTCAGTCTATAGCAAAGATGATTTCCCGGCCAGGTGCGGTGGCTCACGCCTGTAAATCCCAGCACTTTGGGTGGCCGAGGCAGGCAGATCACAAGGTCAGGAGATCGAGACCATCCTGGCTAACACGGTGAAACCCCGTCTCTACTAAAAATACAAAAATTAGCCAGGCATGGCCGTGTGTGCCTGTAGTCCCAGCTGCTGGGGAGGCTGAGGCAGGAGAATGGCGTGAACCTGGGAGGCGGAGCTTGCAGTGAGCCGAGATTGTGCCACTGCACTCCAGCCTGGGCAACAGAGCGAGACTCCATCTCAAAAAAAAAAAAAAAAAAGATGATTTCCCATCCTGAAAATTTTAGTGTGTGTATGCCTATGTGGATTTTTCTGAGACAAAGATCCGTACCTGTCATCAGGGACTCAAAGGACTATATGATCCAAAAAGTTAAAAGCTATGGACCTGCACAAAATATGGATGGCTGAACACAGGCCGTGTCTTTTAAACACACAGCAGAAAGCACCTCTAGAAATAGATGAGAAGAGGAAGGAAAGTCAACTCTAGAAAAAAAACAAAGGAATTTTGTTGCTTTTCTTCACCTGTTTGTTTGTTGCCTTTGTTATTCTGCCTACATTAACCAGAATTAGCAGATTACTACAATTCTTCATTTGATTTCAGTGGAACAAATGCAGCCACTGATAGAATTACAGTACAGCACACCCTAGAAGGGAACACAACTGCTTTCATTAAGTTAAATGTACCTATAGTAGGATGAACAAGTATCTTACTAGATAATTCCTTTCGAATCTAGAGCTTAGCTTATTAAATATTCCTGTCATTAATTTTTGTCATAATCATTTGCTCCAACTCAGTAAAACAGTTGCTAAAACTCATATGATGAAAGAAAGCTAGATTTCACATTAATTGCCCCTTTCAGTATCACTTAATTTTCTTCCTTTAATTTTGAGCACACCTGTTTTGAAGGTGAGCACCATACAGCCTTGACCCCCCACGTTCACTGTATGTACTTCATGCCAGTAACTAAAATGCTATAATTCCACATCATTAAATTAAGCAATAGCCAAGTTTCAGATTTTACACTGTCTGACTACTAAAATCACATTAGTTCACTACTAGAGTTTAGTCACTGTATCAACTATTGGTATTAAATCTTTGAATGCAATGAAAGTTAACAATGCTATTTTTATGTTGTGCCAAAAAAATCATTCAGTCTGTTTTCTCTTTTTGATTACAGTTCATTTAAGGGAAAAATGTTGCTGTATGGTTTGACAATGTTTTGTGTGTCTTCGACTGATAGAACACACAAAACGCTTGAATAGGCCCATTTATTTGAGCAGACATATTAAATAATACTTTAAATGTGAACATGCATGTCATAAATTTTGTAGTCTCTTTAAAGTAGGATAAATCTGGTATTTAAAGTAGCCTTTGTTCAAAGCCATCTTTTTTTCTAACAGTCATAAAGGGACTCTGATTTGTGCTGCATGAACAATGCCAGCATCATCATTTTAATGTTATCCATATGGGCTTCTAATAATAGATAAGAGTCTACATTTGTATTATATGTCTTAGAGACATTTAAAATCTAGATAAGGAAAGGCTGAATTCATTGGCCCCACAGTTAAAGGAAAGCAGACCCTAATTAAAAGAATTCTGTTCTGAATTAACTAGTTTGACATGTGCTAATTGACAGTTCCTGTGAAATGGTTCTAATTAAAGTCAATATGTCTTTTTCAATTAAAAGGAAATTAAGAATATACTAATATACATTAACAACTTAATCTGCCTTCAATATCCCATACATCAGCTGCTTTTCCTTCCTAACGTTATTGGAGAACCATCTGACATGAATCATCTACTGTTTGCTTATGGTATCTCATTATTACTTCACACGAGCACAGCAGTAGTAGGTATCCCCTTGAGGAAGAAGATAACCTGCACATGCTTTGATTTTTCAGAACTCCTAACTCTTAGTTCATTAACTATAAACCACCTTTTTGAATTGGAAAAAAAAAATGGACATTTCTTAATAAGAATCTTTGCTAAATGAAAACAAAGACAAGTGTTCTCAATTAGTTGGTCTTTTTACTATAGGCCTTAGAGGTAATTGCATTCTGCTGGAAAGAAGGCTGCACTAAGTTTTCATCATTTGGTTTGATTCAAACCAAAGCTTGATTTGAGCAACATAAAACAAAAACATCTTTCAAATCATGTTCTGTTTCCCAAGTGAAACTTCGGGGAAATATCAGGTGGGAATACTTTGCATTGTATATATAACAGGAAATAGAAAGCAAGATTGCTTAAATGTCTGCACTAACAGAAGGCCCATGTATACAATGAAAATGTAGCATTAGAGAAGCTGTTTATAGCAACATAATTAAATATTCAAATGTACATTACCAAAGCTATGGTGTTAGCAATTTCAGTTCCAGAGAAAGTAATATTAAACTGAAACATCAATGCTAATGTACACAACATTAACATCACATGGAGAACAATGAAAAAGATTAAAACTATTTGTTTCTTAGTAGATGATTAAAATTTAGACATTTTAATTACAATAAAAGGGTTTTTCAAGGAAAGTTTTTACACTATCAAGATACTATATGCAATTTTTCATGATATAGCTAATATTTTGATAAGCATTCCATCACAACCCCCTTTCTGCAGTTTAGAATTCAACATGAAATGTAACAACTTATATAAATAGGAAATTATTTTACTTATTTTCACCAAAATTCATATTTAATTTAGATCAAGAAAAAAGGTAAACAAGTCTCTTCCACTTTGCCACTTTTATTCACTCACATCTTTAAAAGATGAAATTTGCTATCACCTGTAGCATTCTGAGGAGCAATGAGAGAGAGAGGCAGCTAGCCAGCCAGCCAATACAATCTCTCATTGAAAGCATTTTTCCCCAAATGTACTCTATTATTCTTTCTGAGTAGTTACCAAAAACTTTAATGAAAATCATCTTAAGTGGAACTCAAAAAGCATCTGAAGTCTAGTGAATTTCCAGAATGAGTAAACACATATTAATCTACTTTCAATAAAGTGCCTTCTCATAATTATAAATATAATCAGACTCAACAGTCAAAATGCAGTGCTATGTATTACCATGTGGAGCCCCTAGTTTGATTTCCAATCCTGGGACTTGCTCCTCAAGCTGGCATAGACTGGAAATGCTGCAATAACAGCATGTACTCAGCTTTTTTAAATGGGAAAGAAGCCAATGCAGCAACTTTTCTGCCCAATTAAAGAGCATTGTCTATAGCAGGCCTACACAACATAAGGCCTGCAGACTGCACACAGCCATGAAGCAATTGTTCATGACCCACCCACAGATTTGGGAAGGGGGAGTAAGTAGAAAGACATACAATATGGAATCTATGTCAGCAATAAGAGAAAAGACTGTTCCACAGACTCCACCTCTCAGTTCACATGTTACAATGACAATGCTAATCTCAGGATGGCAATCAACATGATCTGTCAATCCTCCCAATGAAGACATCCACTGTATCAATGCTGCACTTGTATAAAAACTTACTAAAGGGCAGGTTTTTTGTTGTTTTTTGTTTGTTTGTTTTTTGTTTGTTTTGAGACAGTCTTGCTCTGTCATCCAGGCTGGAGTACGGTGGCACGATCTCGGCTCACTGCAACCTTCGCATCCCAGATTCGAGCAATTATCCTGCTTCAGCCTCCTGAGTAGCTGAGATTACAGGTGTGTGCCACCACGCCTGGCTAATTTTTGTATTTTTAGTAGAGATGGGGTTTCACCATGTTGGTCAGGCTGGTCTCAAACTCCTGACCTTGTGATCCACTCACCTCAGCCTACCAAAGTGCTGGAATTATAGGTGTGAGCCACCGCGCCCAGCCAAAGGAGCAGTTTTATATACTGAACTGAAAATAGGAAAATCCTGTAGCATTCATCTGAAGGTTTATACTATTTGAACAGTTTATAAATATTTATTGATGATCCTCATGTTTTATATTTTCTTATAGAAACTTGTTTTCATTTCTTTCTCTTGTTCCTCCCATTCAATTACCAATGAGTGACTATATAACTCATTCAAACTGGAAAGCTTTTAAGAATGAACGTGGAGGAAAGTGATGTCATGGAAGACAGTAGAGTAGGATCAATCCCTTTACCAAAACAACAGTTGAGTTGACACGAACTGTCATAACCAACTACTTCAGAACTCAAGTCTAGCTGAACATTTGCAGTGTCTAGAGGAGTGCTTGATGAAGAAAGAGACTAGTAAATTTTGGTGAATTTCAGTGTTATGTATAACAACTACTATCCTTAAGCCCTGTGGAAAGCAGCATGGGGACAATGGCCTGTATGCCTGGTGCAATTTGCTGGTGCCAGAGTGAACAACAGGAACCTTCTCTTGAAAAAAAAATTGGGTTTCTGTATTTTGATCCGTTTGGAAGTTCACTGAGGGGCCAGTACAGAGATGGTTCAACCATGATGGGCTGACGCAGCTTCCCAGGCATCAGCTGAAGGAAATTAAAAAGAATATGCTTTACTTTTCTTCTCTTACAAAATCCAGGCATTTAAGAAAAATCTCTGTCAGTGTGCTGACTGACCATGAAGATAACAAAACATAGGCTTCTGGAACCACACATAACAAGGAATATAGTTTTTTCAAAACAATTTGGAAAAGTCACTAAACAAATGAACAACTGCTGCCTTCATCAAACAACAACAACAACCCTTCATGTAGAAGGCAGAATTTGATTTCCAAAATTGCCACATTACGGTATTCAAAATGTCCAGTTCTCAACAAAAAATTATGAAGCACACAAAAAATAGAAAGTATGACCCATTCATGGGGGAAAAAAATGATAAAGACCATTCCTGAGGAAGCCCAGATGTTGAATTTACTAAGCAAAGACTTTAAATTAACTGGCTTAAAGATGCTCAAAGAATTAAAGGAAACCATGAGTAAATAAGTAAATGACATTAGGCAAACTATATATAAAAGAGTAAGAAATATCAATAAAGGAATAGAAATTATTTTTTTTTAAAAAGAACACAGTAGAAATAATGGAGATGAAAAATATAAGAGATTAAATTAAAAATTCAGAAGAGGGGCTCAGGCAAAAGAAATGTTTATCAAACTTGAAGACAGAACAATTATACTTACCCAGTCTTATGAACAGACAAAAAAAATTAATGAAGCAAAATAAACAGAGTCTACAGGACTTATAGGACATCATCAAGTGCACCAACATACACATTATGGGTTACAGAAACAGAAAAGAGAGAAATGAAGAAACATTATCCAAAAACTTCCAAAATTTGATGAAAGATGTGATGCTACACATCCAGGAATCTCAACAAACTCCAAGCAAGACAAACTCAATGAGATCCACACAAAGACACATTATAATCAAACTGCTGATAGACAAAGACAGAGAAAAATCTTGAAATCAGCAAGAGAGAAGGGATTTATCACATACAAGCCATCCTCAATAAGATTAACAACCTATTTTTATGAGAAACTATGGAGGTCAAAAGGGAGTGGAATAAAATATTTAAAATACAGAAAGGGAAAAAATGCCAACAAGGAATTTATATACAGCAAAATACTTCAAAAATGAAGAGGAAATTAAGACACTGCCAGATAAAAGTTCACTGACAGACTTGCTCTACAAGAAATGTTAAAGGAATTCTTCAGGCTGAAATAAAATGATACTAAACAGTAACTTAAAGCCATACAATGAAATAAAAGTCACTGATAAGGTAACTACATAGGTAAATGTAAAACCTAGTATTAATGTATTTTGGGCATGTAATTTCCCTTTTCATTTCCTGTATGATTTAAAACACAAATGCATAAAACAATAATTATAAATATATGTCAATGGGCACATAATGCATAAAGATACAATTTGTGACAGTAACAACATAAAGGGAAGAATGCAGCTGAGTAGGAGCAGAATTAATGTATGCTGCTGAAGTTAAGAACTAGATTGCTATAAATTTAGAATATTAACTGTAATCCCCCATGGTAACCACTAAGAAAATAATTTAAAATATATTGAAAAGGAAATGAAGAGGATGTCAAAATATTATTCTAAAAAATCCAATCAAACACAAAGGAGGCAATATTGGAGAAATTGAGAAACAAAAAAGACATGATATATAGAAAATAAATAGCAAAATGGCAAAAATAAGTTCTTCATGATCAGTTGGCACTATAAGCGTAAATGAATTAAACAAATTAAAAAACAGAGATTGTAGAAAAAATTTTTTAAAAACATGATCCAGCTAGTTGCTGCTTAAAAGAGACCAATTTTAGACCCAAAGATATAATAAGTTAACAATGAAAGGATAGAAAAAAATATTCCATGCAAATAATAACCAAAAGAGAGCCAGGCTGGCTATACTGATATCAGGAAAAAAATGGATTTTACATCAAAAACTATTGCAAAAGACAAAGAAATACATTTTATAAGGATAAAAGGATCCATTCATCAATATGATATAACAATTATAAATGTATACACATCAAACTAGAGAGCCTGAGAATATATAAAGTAAATAGTGACAAAACTGAAGAGAGAAAACAGGCTAGAAGACAGGACAATTATATAATTAGGATAATAATTGGAAACTCTAGAATAATAGTTGGAAACTTCAATAGCCCACTTTTAGTAATGGATAGAACACACAGAAAATAAATAAGGAAATAGACAATTTGAACAACACTATAAAGCAACAAGGCCTAACAGACATATACAGAACACTCTACCAAAAATGGAAGAATATGTATTCTTCTCAAGTTCACATGAAACATTCTCCAGAATAAACCATAATTTAGGCCATAACACAATTTTCAATCGACTTCAAAATATATAAATCACACCAAGTATCTTCTACAACAACAATGAAATGAAGCTAGAAATAAATAAAAGAAGGAAAACTAGAAACTTTTCAAGTTCACAGAAATTAAATAACATATTCTTTAAAAAAAATAGGTTAAGAAAGAAATCACTAGAAAAACAGAAAAATACTTTCAGATAAAATGCAAATGAAAGCACAACATACCAAAATGTATAGGAGGCAGCAAAAGCAGTATCCAGGGGAAATTTTTATAGCTGTAAACACCTATATTTTTAATAAATCTCAAATTAACAACCTAATTTTACACCTTAAGAAACTAGAAAAATAAGTGCAAATTACACCCAAAACAAGCAAAATAAATAATAAAGATTAGAGAAAAGATAAAACAGAAAGGAGAAAAACTATAGAGAAAAATCAATAGGAACAAAAAAAAATGGTTTGTTGATAAAAATCAACTGTAGAAATTATCGGGGTGGCTAGCAAGATGGCCAAATAGGAAAAGCTCTGGTCTACAGCTCCCAGTGAGACTAACACAGGAGGCAGGTGATTTATGCATTTTCAACTGAGGTACCTGACTCATCTCATTGGGACAGGTTAGACGGTGGGTGCAGCCTGCAGAGGATGAGCCGAAGCAGGTGGGGCATCACCTCACCCAGGAAGTGCAAGGGGTCGGTGAACTCCCTCCCCTAGCCAAGGGAAGCTGTGAGGGACTGTGCCATGAGGAACAGTGCACTCCAACTCAGACACTATGCTTTTCCCACGGTCTTCATAACCCACAGACCAGGAGATTCCCTCCAGTGCCTATATCACCAGGGCCCTGGATTTCAAGCACAAAACTGGGCGGCCATTTGGGCAGACACCGAGCTAACTACAGGAGTTTTTTTTTTATACCCCAGTGGAGCCTGGAATGACAGCAAGGCAGAACCATTCACTCCCTTGTAAAGGCGGCTAAAGCCAGAAAGCCAAGTGGTCTAGCTCAGCAGACCCCAGCCCCATGGAGCCAAGCAATCTAAGATCAACCGGCTTGAAATTCTCACTGCAAGCACAGCAGTCTGAAGTCAACCTGGGACGCTCTAGCTTGGTGGAGGGAGAGGCGTCCACCATTACTGAGGCTTGAGTAGGCTCTTTTCCCCTCACAGTGTAAACAAAGCCTCTGGGAAGTTCCAACTGGGCAGAGCCCACTGCAGCATGGCAAAGCCACTGTAGCCAGACTGCCTTTCTAGATTTCCCCTCTCTGGGCAGGGCATCTCTGAAAGAAAGGCAGCAGACCCAATCAGGGGATTATCAAACTCCCATCTCGCTGGGACAGAGCACCTAGGGGAAGGGGCAGCTGTGGGTGCAGCTTCAGCAGACTTAAACGTTCCTGCCTGCTGGCTCTGAAGAGAGCAACAGCTCTCCTAGCACAGCGCTCGATCTCTGCTAAGGGACAGACTGCCTCCTCAAGTTGGTCCCTGACCCCCATGCCTCCTGACTGGGAGATATCTCCCAGCAAGGGTCGACAGACACCTCATACAGGAGCGCTCTGGCTGGGATATGGTGGAAGCCCCTCTGGGACAAAGCTTCCAGAGGAAGGAAAAGGCAGCAATCTTTGCTGTTCTGAAGCCTCTGCTGGTGATCCAGGCAAACAGGGTCTGAAGCAGACCTCCAACAAACTCCAGCAGACCTGCAGCAGAGGGGCCTAACTATTAGAAGGAAAACTAACAAACAGAAAGGAATAGCATCAACATCAACAAAAAGGATGTCCACACAGAAACCCCATCCGAAGGTCACCAACATCAAAGACCAACAGCAGATAAATTCATGAAGATAAGGAAAAAACAGCACAAAAAAGCTGAAAATTCCAAAAACCAGAACGCCTCTTCTCCTCCAAAGGATCACTACTCCTCACCAGCAAGGGAACAAAACTGGACTGAGGATGAGTCTGAAGAACTGACAGAAGTAGACTTCAGAAGGAGGGTAATAACAAACTCCTCTGAGCTAAAGGAGCCTGCTCTAACCCAATGCAAGGAAGCTAAGAACCTTGAAAAAAGGTTAGACGAATTGCTAACTAGAATAACCAGTTTAGAGAAGAACATAAATGACCTGATGGAGCTCAAAAACACAGCATAAGAACTTCGTGAAGCTTACACAATTATCAATAGCCAAGTTGATTAAGCAGAAGAAAGGATATCAGAGATTGAAGATCAACTCAATGAAATAAACTGTGAAGACATGATTAGAGAAAAAAGAATAAAAAGAAATGAACAAAACCTCCAAGAAATATGGGACTATGTGAAAAGACCAAACCTATGTTTGATTGGTGTACCTGCAAGTGATGAGGAGAATGGAACCAAGTTGGAAAACATGCTTCAGGATATTATCCATGAGAACTTCCCCAACCTAGCAAGACAGGCCAACATTCAAATTCAGGAAATACACAGAACATCACAAAGATACTCCTCGAGAAGAGCAACCCCAAGACACATAATTGTCAGATTCACCAAGGTTGAAATGAAGGAAACAATGTTAAGGGCAACCAGAGAGAAAGATCGGGTTACCCACAAAGGGAAGCCCATCAGACTAACAGCGGATCTCTCTGCAGAAACCCTACAAGCCAGAAGAGAGTGGGGGCCAATATTCAACATTCTTAAAGAAAAGAATTTTCCAGCCATAATTTCATATCCAGCCAAACTAAGCTTCATAAGCAAAGGAGAAATAAAATCCTTTACAGACAAGCAAATGCTGAGAGATTTTGTCACCACCAGGCCTGCCTTACAAGAGCTCCTGAAGGAAGCACTAAACATGGAAAGGAAAAACTGGTACCAGCCAATATAAAAACTTACCAAATGGTAAAGACCATTGACACTATGAAGAAACTGCATCAACTAACGAGCAAAATAACCACCTAGCATCATAACGACAGGGTCAAATTCACACAGAACAATATTAACCTTATATGTAAGCAGACTAAATTCCCCTCTTAAAAGACACAGACTGGCAAATTGGATAAAGAGTCAAGACCCATCAATGTGCTGTATTCAGGAGACACATCTCATGGGCAAAGACACACATAGGCTCAAAATAAAGGGATGCAGGAATATTTACCAAGCAAATGGAAAGCAAAAAAAAAAAAAAAAAATGCAGGGGTTGCAATCCTAGTCTCTGATAAAACAGACTTTAAACCAACAAAGATCAAAAGAGACAAAGAAAGGGCATTGCATATTGGTGAAGGAATCAATGCAACAAGAAGAGTTAACTATCCTAAATATATATGCACCCAATACAGGAGTACCTAGATTTGTAAAGCAAGTTCTTAGATACCTACAAAGAGACTTAGAATCCCACACAATAATACTGGGAGACTTTAACACCCCACTGTCAATATTAGACAGATCAACGAGACAGAAAATTAACAAGGATATTCAAGACTTGAACCCAGCTCTGGACCAAGCAGACCTAATAGACACCTACAGAACTCTCCACCCCAAATCAACAGAATATACATTCATCTCAGCACCACATTGCACTTATTCTAAAATTGACCACATAATTGGAAGTAAAACATTCCACAGCAAATGCAAAAAAGTAGAAATCATAACAGTCTTCCAGACCACAGTGCAATCAAATTAGAACTCAGGATTAAGAAACTCACTCAAAACCACACAACTACATGAAAACTGAACAACCTGCTGCTGAATGACTATTCGGTAAATAACAAAATTAAGGCAGAAATAATTAAGTTCTTTGAAACCAATGAGAACAAAGACACAACATACCAGAATCTCTGGGACACAGTTGAAGCAGTGTTTAGAGGGAAATTTATAGCACTAACGCCCTGAGGAGAAAGCAGGAAAGATCTAAAATCGACACCTTAACAACACAATTAAAAGAACTAGAGAAGCAAGAGCAAACACATTCAAAAGCTAGCAGAAGAAAAGAAATAACTAAGATCAGAGCAGAACTGAAGGAGACAGACACATGAAAAACCCTTCAAAAAGTCAATGAATTGACTGTAAACTAGTTCAAACATTGTGGAAGTCAATGTGGTGATTCCTCAGGGATCTAGAACTAGAAATACCATTTGACCCAGCCATCCCATTACTGGGTATATACCCAAAGGACTACAAATCATGCTGCTATAAAGACACATGCACACGTATGTTTATTGCGGCATTATTCACAATAGCAAAGACTTGGAACCAACCCAAATGTCCAACAATGATAGACTGGATTAAGAAAATGTGGCACATATACACCATGGAATACTATGCAGCCATAAAAAATGATGAGTTCATGTCCTTTGTAGGGACATGGATGAAATTGGAAATCATCATTCTCAGTAAACTATCGCAAGAACAAAAAACCAAACACCGCATATTCTCACTCATAGGTGGGAATTGAACAATGAGAACACATGGACACAGGAAGGGGAACATCACACTCTGGGGACTGTTGTGGGGTGGGGGGAGGGGGGAGGGATAGCACTGGGAGATATACCTAATGCTAGATGACGAGTTAGTGGGTGCAGCGCACCAGCATGGCACATGTATACATATGTAACTAACCTGCACATTGTGCACATGTACCCTAAAACTTAAAGTATAATAATAATAAATTAATTAATTTTTTTAAAAAAGTCAGTGAATCCAGGAGCTGTTTTTTTTTAAATATCAACAAAACAGACTGCTAGCCAGACTAATACAGAAGAAAAGAGAGAAGATCAAATATACACAATAAAAAATGATAAAGGTGATATCACCACTGATCCCACAGAAATACAAACTACCATCAGAGAATACTATAAACACCTCTACGCAAATAAACTAGAAAATCTAGAAGAAATGGATAAATTCCTCGACACATACACCCTCCCAAGACTAAACCAGGAAGATGTCGAATCCCTGAAGAAACCAATAACAAGTTCTGAAATTGCAGCAATAATTAATAGCCTACCAACCAAAACAAAAGCCCAGGACCAAACAGATTCACAGCTGAATTCTACCAGAGGTACAAAGAGGGACTGGTACTATTCCTTCTGAAAGTATTCCAAACAATAGAAAAAGAGGGACTCCTCCCTAACTCATTTTATGATGCCAGCATCATCCTGATACCAAAACCTGGCAGAGACACAATACAAAAAAGAAAATTTCAGGCCAATATCCCTGATGAACATCAATGTGAAAATCCTCAATAAAATAATGGCAAACCGAATCTAGCAGCACATCAAAAAGCTTATCCACCACAATAAGTTGGCTTCATCCCTGGGATGCAAGGCTGGTTCAACATATGCAAATCAATAAATGTAATCCATCACATACACAGAACCAATGGCAAAAACCTTATGATTATCTCAACAGATGCTGAAAAGGCCTTTGATAAAATTCAACACCCCTTCACGCTAAAAAGTCTCAATAAACTAGGTACTGATGGGACGTATCTCAAAATAATAAGAGCTATTTATGACAAACCCACAGCCAATATCATACTGAATGGGCAAAAGCTGGAAGCATTCCCTTGGAAAATCGGCACAAGATAAGGATACCCTCTCTCACCACTCCTATTCAACATAGTATTGGAAGTTCTGGCCGCAGCAATCAAGAAAGAGAAAGAAATAAAGGGTATTCAAACAGGAAGAGAGAAAATCAAATTGTCTCTGTTTGCAGATGACATGATTGTATATTTAGAAAACCCCATTGTCTCAGCCCAGAATCTCCTCAAGCTGATAAGCAACTTCAGCAAAGTCTCAGGATACAAAATCAATGTGCAAAAATCACAAGCATTCCTATACACCAATAATAGACAAACAGCCAAATCATGAGTGAACTCCCATTCACAATTGCTACTAAGAGAATAAAATACCTAGGAATACAACTGACAAGGGATGTAAAGGACCTCTTCAAGGAGAACTACAAACCACTGCTCAAGGAAATAAGAGAGGACAGAAACAAATGGAAAAACATTCCATGCTCATGGATAGGAAGAATCAATATCATGAAAATGGCCACAATGCCCAAAGTAATTTATAGATTCAATGCTATCTCCATCAAGCTACCATTGACTTTCTTCACAGAATTGGAAAAAACTACTTTAAACTTGATATGGAACCAAAAAAGAGCCTGTATAGCCAACACAATCCTAAGCACAAAGAAAAAAGCTGGAAGCATCATGCTCCCTGACTTCAAACTATACTACAAGGCTACAGTATTCAAAACAGCATGGTACTGGTACCAAAACATATATAGACCAATGGAACAGAACAGAGGCCTCAGAAATAAGACCACACATCTACAACCATCTGATCTTTGACAAGGTTGACAAAAACAAGCAATGTGGAAAGGATTCCCTATTTAATAAATGGTATTGGGAAAACTGGCTAGCCACATGCAGAAAACTGAAACTGGACCCCTTCCTTACACCTTACACAAAAATTAACTCAACATGGATTAAAGACTTAAATGTAAGACCTAAAACCATAAAAACCCTAGAAGAAAACCTATGCAATATCATTCAGGACATAGGCATGGGAAAAGATTTCATGACTAAAATCAAAAGTAATGGCAACAAAAGCCAAATTTGACAAATGGAATCTAATTAAACTAAAGAGCTTCTGCATAGCAAAAGAAACTATCATCAGAGTAAACAGGCAACCTACAGAATGGGAGAAAATTTTTGCAATCTATCCATCTGATGAAGGGCTAATATCCAGAATCTACAAGGAACTTAAACAAATTTACAAGAAAAAAACAAGCAACCCCATCAAAAAGTGGGCAAAGACTTATGAACAGACACTTCTTAAAAGAAGACATTTATATGCAGCCAACAAACATGTGAAGAAAAGCTCATCATCACTGGTCATTAGAGAAATGCAAATCAAAACTACAATGAGATACCAACCATCTCACGCCAGTTAGAATGGCAATCATTAACATGTCAGGAGACAACAGATGCTGGAGAGAATGTGGAGAAATAGGAAAGCTTTTACACTGCTGGTGGGAGTGTGAATTAGTTCAACCATTGTGGAGGACAGTGTGGCAGTTCCTCAAGGATCTAAAACCAGAAATATCATTTGACCCAGCAATCCCATTACTGGGTATATACCCAAAGTATTTTAAATCATTCTAATATAAAGACACATGCACACATATGTTTATTGCAGCATTGTTCACAATAGCAAAGACTTAGAACCAACCCAAATGTCCATCAATGATAGACTGGATAAAGAAAATGTGGCACATATACACCATGGAATACTATGCAGCCATAAAAAAGGATGAGTTCATGTCCTTTGCAGTGACATGGATGATGCTGGAAACCATCATTCTCAGCAAACTAACACAGGAACAGAAAACCAAACACCACATATTCTCACTCATAAGTGGGAGTTGAACAATGAGAACACATGGACACAGTGGGGGAACATCACACAGTGGGGCCTGTTGGAGGGTGGAGGACTATGGAAGGGATAGCATTAGGAGAAATACCTAATGTAGATGACGGGTTAAAGGGTGCAGCAAACCACCATGGCAAGTGTATGTAACAAACCTGCATGTTCTGCACATGTATCACAGAACTTGAGTATAATTTAAAAAAAAAAAAAGAAATTACCACAGCCACCCTAAACCTTCAGCAACCACCACCCTGATCAGTCAGCAGCCATCAACATCTAGGAAAGACCCTCCACCGGCAAAAAGACTACAACTTGCTAAAGTCTCAGATGATCATTAGCATTTTTTAGGAGGAAGGTATTTTTAATTAAGGTATATATATATATATATTTTTAGGCATAATGCTATTGCACAAAATAGACTACAGTATAATGAAAACATAACTTTTATATGTACTGGGAAATCTAAAAATGTAAGTGACTTCCTTTATTACGGTGGTTCGGTACCAAATCTGCAGTATTTCTGAGGTATGCCTGTATTTGAAGAGCTGACTAGAGAAAAGTTTCTGAGAAACACAAAGCCACAATAGAAGTGAGACAGCCTAATTTAATAAAATTAAAAGAAACCTCTAAAAAGCACTATGCCTTTGCTCAAAAAAGCCATTTGTTTGCTAGTGTGAGTTCTGATAAAGACCAAATCCTGTCTCAAGTACATGTTTGGGGCTTGTGTTGAAGTTCTCTAAGGGCAGTTTAACCGCGGTAAGAGATCACATCTTGCATTCCAATTTGTATTAATTAATATACAATTCTTAAAATGATGGGATAGTCAGATGTTTGGTCTAGATCTTCCCAGTTGCTCGTGATTTTATGTTCCTGCAAATATAATCTGCACTCTTCTGAAAAAGGAAAATGAAAGAGGATGGGTGACTCTCAGTCAATCCATGTGACTTCTGGATGAGGACCTGTGAAATGGAGAAAATTGGATTTCCAGAACTGGCCCTTCCACCACTCCCTTCAGATCCAGATTGAGCATATGTGTTACTTGGTGCAATTATTGTTATAAACATGATTCTTGCTTGTTAAATAAATGAATAGAATGTTATAAAGATGATTCTAGCTTGTTAGTTACAGAAAACTAGACAATGTAAACTGTACATGTATAAATAAGTTATTGCCCTTTAAATGTCAAATACCCCATTTCTCCTTCTCTTGTTTTTTGAGCTTTCCCTAATTAGACAGACTCATAGTTTTCATTAAGAAGTTCAGTAAATAAATATTTGGGCTATCTACTATGTGTAAACTGTCACAAAAACTTTTAGAAACAAGCCAGAAATCCATATGGATGAGAAGAAAGGGAGGTGGTAATGACGGTGGTGGTGGTGGTGGTCATGGTGATGATGGGAGTGGTGGTGGTGGTAGTGGTGATAGGGGTAGTGGCGGTGGCAGTGGTGGTGGTCTTGGTAATGGTGGTGTTGATGGTCATTGTGGTTATGGTGGCAGTGGTGGTGGTGGTCATGGTGGTGATGGGAGTGGTGGTGGTGGTGGTGATGGTGGTGGTGGCGGTGGCAGTGGTGGTGGTGGTGGTGGTGGTTGTTCCTGGTAATGGTGTTGATGGTGGTTGTAGTCATGGTGGTGATGGGAGTGGTGCTGGTGGTAGTGATAGCAATGGTGGTGGTGGTTGTTCCTGGTAATGGTGGCATTGATGGTGGTTGTAGTCATGCTGGTGATGAGAGTGGTGGTGGTAGTCCTGGTAATGGTGGTATTTATGGTGGTTGTGGTTATGGTAGTGGTGGTGGTGGTGGTGCAGTGGTGGTGGTTGACTTGGTAATGGTGGTGTTGATAGTCATTGTGGTTGTGGTAGTGGTGGTGGTGATGGGAGTGGTGGTGATGGTGGTGGTGGGAGTGGTGGTGGTGGTGGTGGTTGTTCCTGGTAATGGTGTTGACGGTGGTTATAGTCATGGTGGTGATGGGAGTGGTGGTGGTGGTAGTGATAGCTGTGGTGGTGGTGGTGGCGGTGGTGGTCGTTCCTGGTAATAGTGGTGTTGATGGTGGTTGTAGTCATGCTGGTGATGAGAGTGGTGGTGGTGGTAGTCCCGGTAATGGTGGTGTTTATGGTGGTTGTGGTTATGGTAGTGGTGGTGGTGGCAGTGGTGGTGGTTGTTCCCGGTAATGGTGGTATTGATGGAGGTTGTAGTTATGGTGGTAGTGGTGGTCGTGGTGGTGGTGGTGGTCATGGTGGTGATAAGAGTGGTAGTGTTGGTGGTGGTAGTTGTCCTGGTAATGGTGGTATTGATGAAGGTTGTGGTTATGGTGGTAGTGGTGATGGTGGGGGGGTGGTGGTGCTGGTGGTGGTGGTGATGGCCGTGGTCCTAGCTAAAGTGATAACAGAATGAAGTTCTGGAAACCAAAATTTTTTTTTAAATGAACTGTAATGATTAATTTTTTTGTGTCACCTTTACTGGGCTAAGGGATTCTCAGATAGCTAGAAAAACATTATTCTGGGTGTGTCTGTGAGAGTGTGTCCAGAAGAGATTAGCATTTTAATCAGTTAACAAAGGAAAGAAGATCTGCCCTAATCAATATGGGCAGGTATCTTCCAATCTACTAAAGACGCAAATTGAAGAAAAAGGTGGGAGAGCAAATGTTCTCTCTCTTCTCAAGCTAGGACATTCATCTTCTCCTACCCTTGGACATCAAGGCTCCTGGTTCTTGGGCCTTCAAACTCCATGACTTATACTGGTAGCCTCCCCAGTTCTCAGGCCCTTGGCCTCAGACTTGGAGTTACACCATCAGCTCCCTGGTTCTCAGGCCTTCAGACTCTTGACTGAATTGTACCACGGGCTTTCTTCGTTATCCAGCATGCAGACAGTATATTATAGGACCTCTTGGCTTCCATAATCACATAAGCCAATTCCCATAATAAATCTCCTCTTATCCATCTATATATATCCTATTGGTTCTGTTTCTCTGGAGAACCCTGACTAATACATCAACTAAACCAACAAACTTTTAGCCCCACTGATTATAAAAAAAGAAAGATGAAAATAACTAAAATCTGACAAGAAAGCAGAGATATTAGTATTGACCTTTACAGAAACTAAAAGAATTATAAGAGAATACTTGGAACTATTTACACCAACAAATTAGGTAATCTAGATGTATGGACAAATTCCTAGAAACACATAAATTATCAAAACTGATTTAAGAAGTAAAAAATCTTAACAGATCTAAAGAAAAAACCTTAACAGACAGACTCAGTATTCAAAAACCTCCCAACAAAGAAAAGTCTGTGCTACATGGCTTCACTGTTTGTTTTTTGAGCTAATTAGATAGACTCACAGTTTTCATCAAGAAGTTCAGTAAATAAATACACCAAACACTTAAATAAGAATTAATTCTACCAAACACTAAATTCTACCAAACACTAAAATAAGAATTAACACCATTCCTTCTCAAACTTTTCCAATAAAGCAGGAGAGGGAACACTTCCTAACACATTTTGTGAGATCAGCATTACTCTGATACTAAAGTCAAAGACCTCAAAAGAAAACTATAACTCAATATCCCTTATTAACACAGATGTAAAATTCTGCAACAAAATACTGGCAAACCAAATCCAACAGCATATTTTAAAAACACATACACCACGACCAAATGAAGTGTAACTCATGAATGCAAGTGTGGTTGAACATATGAAAATCAATTAATATAATGCACCACATTAAGGGGATGGAGTAACATATTACATGATTATCTCAATACATGCAGAAGGAGTATTTGACAAAATTCTATATCATTTCATGATAAAAAAAAAAAACACTCACAAACTAGGAGAGAAAAGAATTTCTTTAATACGATAAAGGGCACTTATGAAAAACCCATAGCTAACATTATGCTCAATGGTGAAAGAATGAAAGCTTTCCCCTAAGATCAGGAAGAAAACATGATGCCTGCTTTGACCACTGCTATTTGACACTGTACTGGAAGTTCTAATCAAAGGAATGATTCCAGAAAAAGAAATAAAAGGCATCCAAATTTATGACACCTTTAGAAGTACAAATAAATAAAACTACTTCTATTTGCAGATGACAAAATTCCATAGAATCAATCCACAAAAAACCTACTAGTGCTAATAAGCAAATTCAGCAAACTTGCAGGGTATAAGATCAACACACAAAAATCAGTTGTGTTTTATACAGCAGCAATGAACAAACTGAAAAGGAAATTAAAAACAATTCCATTTACAATAGCACCCAAAAGAATAAAATACCCAGGAATACATTTAACCAAGGAAGTGAAAGACATACACTGTATGTCTTTTATTGTGTAATACACAATAAAACATCGCTGAAAGAAACTTTAAAAGACCTAAATAAGTGAAACTATTTCCCATGTTCATGAATTGTAAGACTTAATATTGTTCAGATAACAATATTACCCAAATCAATCTACAGTTCCTCAAATTCATATGGAACTGTACAGAACCCCAAATAGCCAAAACAATATTTCAAAAGTAACATATGGTTGGAAGACTCAAAATTCCCAATTTCAAAACTTACTACATAGCTAAAATAACCCAAGCAGTATGGTATTGGCATAATAATAGATATATAGAACAACAGAATAAAACTGAGAGTCCAGAAATAAACCCAAACATCTATGGTCAATTGATTTTTGACAAGGGTGCCAAGGCCATTCAACAGAGAAAGAAGAGTCTCTTCAACAAATGATGCAGGAACAAATGTATAACCACAAACAATAAAGTTGGACTCCTACCTCACTCCTTATTAAAAGAAAAAAAAACCTCCAAATGGATCAATTACCTAAATATGAAAGCTACAATTATAGGACTATTAAAGAAACCATACACTTAAATCTTCATGACTTTAGATTTGGTAATGGATTCCTAAACTTTCACAAAAGAATGAGCAATAAAAGTAAAAACAGATATGTTGGACTTCATAAAAATTAAAATATTTGTGTATCAAAGGATATTACAGAATGGGAAAAAAATTTTGCAATTATATCTGATAAGAAATTAATATCCCTTAAATTATACCTGATAAAGGATTAATATGCAGAATACATAAAGAACCATTACAACTCAACAACAAACAGATAAGCAATCCAAATTTTTAAATGGGCAAAGGAGCTGAATAGGCATTTCTCCAAAAGAGATATATAGATCTCTAGTAAGCACATGAAAAGATGTTCAACATCACTGGTCATTAAGGAAAATGCAGAATGAGATGCCATTTCACACCCATTAGGATACCTTTAATCAAAAAAATAAAAAATGTTGGCAAGAGCCAGCCATAGTGGCTCACGCCTGTAATCTGAGCACTATTGGGAGGGCACTTTGGGATGATCACTTGAGCCCAGCAGTTCAAGACCACCAGCCTGGTCAACATGGGAAACTGTATCTACTAAAAATATAAAAATTAACCAGGAATGGTGGTGTGTGCCTGTAATCCAAGGCTCAAGAATCACTTGAACCCAGGAGGTGAAGGTTGCAGTGAGCCAAAATCACGCCACTGCACTCCAGCCTGGGCACCAGAGCAAGACTCCATCTCAAAAGAAGAAAAAGTTGGCAACGATGTATAGAAATAAGAACCCTGGTAACTTCCTGGTAGGCACGTAAAATGGTGCAGCTGCTGTGGAAAACAGTTTGGCTGTTCCTCAAAAAGTTAAACACAGAATTACCATCTGACTAAGAGAAATGAAAAGATGTCCACACAAAAACTTGCACATGAATGTTTATAGCAGTATTATTCATAACAGCAAAAAAGTGAAAACAGCTCAAATGCCCATCAGTGGATAATCAGATAAACAAATTGTGGTATTGGGGTGTGTGTGTGTAAGTGTGTCAAAAATATGCCAAGTGAAAGAAAGTAGAACAACAGGTCACATATTGTATGGTTCCATTTATATGATATATCCAGAATAAGCAAATCCATAGCAATAGACAGCAGATTAGCAGATAACAAACAAGAAAAATTCCTTCTACATGACAAAAAAAATCCAAGATAGAATCAGCATTTATTATATAAATAACTACTTATACAATTTGGTGTGGTTTTCTTTGATTCTTTCAAACATCATGCATTTTGCAAATAATGACATTATACTTACATGGATTTAAGCTAAAATCTCCATAGGGTTTACATACATGTGGCTGTTCTTTTCCGTACTTTATTCTGTTTTATTTTAGTCTCTTGGGTTTACATACATGTGGTTGTTCTTTTCCATACTTTATTCTGTTTTATTTTAGTCTCTTGTCTGATGCTTGATTTTTGTCTTTTCTCATTAAGAAAAAGAAAGTAGAATTGTATGTCCAAATCTAGCATTAAATTACAATTCTTTTACTGAGAAAATAAGACCAAGCACAAAGGGAAAATGCAAATAGAGAGAGAACCTCTCCAAAATTCTAATTAAGCTGCAAGCCATAAAAGTGTGCAGTTTCCATAATGAAACCTAAATGTTTACAGATTTTTCATCAAAAGACAAATGACCAGGTTTTAGCCTTGACCGTGTAATGGAGATAAGTTAAGAATCTGAAGATAATACCTACTGTTTTACTCTATTTGGAAAAAAAAATTGGACCTCAAAGTTTTGAATCTTTAACATAAATACATGTACTTTATAAAATTTTAATAAGGTACTATTTATATATACAAACATGATTTGTATATCATATACACAAATATGATGATTTGTATATCATATACACAAATATGATGAAGAGGAAATTATTTCCTCTTAAAATTAGATGTCCACTAACATCACTAGTTATCGCTTATTTTAGAAATGCTCTCGTCAAATTTTCTGAATTTATGCTATAACTTTAAAAGCAGGAAAAAAATGTTTTGTGGATACTACAAACTAAGTAGAATGTATATTCTCAAAACTGTTATGGAAGATAGATGGTATTATTACCATACATACCTATGATTTGAACATAAAGAGAAAACTCAATACCACTATGATGTAATATTAGAAGGAAAAAATGAATTACCTCTCCAAGACTTAGTATCTATTCTTCCAATATCATTGTTAGAGGTCCTACAAGTAAATAAAATCAAAGTGAAATGTATAAGAAACTTTCAATTCCTTTATTCATTCATAGATCAGATAGTAATATAAAATAAACAAAAAACCC
The DNA here is from genome assembly GCF_000001405.40 of Homo sapiens. Classification (NCBI taxonomy): domain Eukaryota; kingdom Metazoa; phylum Chordata; class Mammalia; order Primates; family Hominidae; genus Homo; species Homo sapiens. Next base: position 93,496,201 of record NC_000005.10, read on the forward strand.
ACATTTCATCTACCTTTGTCTGTATGTAAATAATTAGCAAAGTATTCTAGCTGCTTACGTCTTGCTTTGCTCAAGCAGGCTTGTCTGTGAGGGAAAGAAACTGCTGTGTTGTCAATATTAGTGAACCACATCCTATAAACTCTAGAGTCCAGGGAAAATATATATTGGCAAGAAGTCTATTCAAAAAATCAGCATGTGAGACACGGCATAGCTTGGCCCTTGTAGAAGGACACACCCTCTTTTTGTCAGAATTGCTTCTATTCAGGGACTTCTGTCATAATTTCCTTCTCCCTCTACCATGTCTTCTTACCTTGGATATTATGAAATAGGCATCCTTTTTAATTTATACATTATGAAAACTATTTTCACTGTTAAACAAATAAACATGTTTTCTACATCTATTTGTTCATGAGTTGAAAACAAAGAAATACAGGTGTTTCCAATGTCTTCCTGGCTTTGCCATATAAAGTAACTGCTCCCAGCCATTCTTAATTTACATACCACAATTTTTGTGATTATTTTTTCTCTTGTTGCTCTTGTTAATTGATATTCATATTTGGTATCTCAAAGCATAACAACTTTTCTCCTGAATCTAATCCTTTTATAGGAGTCAGCATTCTTGGATGTATAATAAAGAGACGGTCACATCTTTGCCAGCAAAAGAAAGAATCCATGCAGCTACACAGGTCACTTTCTAAGTGTTTGCTTTAGCCTCCTTTTTACTGTGAATACAGAAAACATCTGCATTCAATGGTTCCGACTTTCAATAAGGCAGCCTGCATGCAGAGAAAGCTGAATGAGAAGAAACCCAAAGACTCAAACACTGTCCAAATGAGTGGACTTCTAAAATATAACCCTTTCTCAAATTTTTGTAATACATTCAGTAAAGGCCTTTTTTTTTTCAGTTAATTCCTCCATATGCTTCAGTGATTAGTAGTAACTTTATCTTGTCATTCCCATAGACTATGATAGAAACAAAATAACCCAAAAGCTAGCTTTCTGATTGAGTTTCCATAAATGCAATGTGAAGGACGTGCATGAAGAATGCGGAAGCAGGAAATGACTTGGAGAGCAATGGAGATATTACGCTGTGTTTGTTTAAGTTGCTGTGTGAAAGGCAAATCTTCCCACTCCCCTCATCACCACAGCTGTGATTAAAACTCTGGCTGGCTGAAACCAAATATAAGGTTGTGTTCTCTTCACCCAGCTGTCAATCTTTCCATTAGCTGGTTTACAGGTTGTGAGAAAAGACATGCTCCGGTTTTCAACATGTGGATGAAAGGTCCTACTTTGGTAAATTCAATTAGATGGAAAATTGAGCTTTCTGTCTTAATTTCAACTCATCATGGAACAGTGACAACTACAGGACCTGGAATTATCTCGTTGAACCCTGTTTTTTCTTATTAGTTGATGTATATTTTATTGTTGCTACCTATAAATTCATATTTAAGTTTATATACTATCCTCAAAGTATACTTAATGTAATAAATATGCATAAACCCAGGTTGATGTAACTTTGACACAGATGACATAATAAATATATGAAGAAAAACGATGGCAAATGCCATAGCCTGAAATATCAGAAGTCAAAGTTAAGATTCTCATTAGCTTTCATGCATTCCTCATGTTTTCATTAAACATGTCCATAAATGCCTAGAACTGCATGAATTCATCATCGGAATCAAGGGTCAATTATAAAACATCTCATTTTCAAGTTTGCCAATCAATGCACAGCTTTAAATAGCACATATACCGTTTTGGCACTGGGTTTTCTCCATGCTCTTTTATAAAATAAATGAAGAAGTATTATGCCTCAAAGTTTCTTAGAGAATAAGTCTTATGGCCAGGCACAGTGGCTCATGCCTGTAATCCCAGCACTTTAGGAGGCCAAGGAAAGAGGGTTACTTGAGGCCAGGAATTTGAGACCAGCCTGGGCAACACAGTGAGACTCAGTCCCTACAAAAGAAATAATAAATAAATAAATAAATTTTAAAACAGAATAAGTCTTACAACCAAAAGATAATAATAATAATAATATATTTTGGGAGGTTCTGAAAATTAACTTTCCTTGGAACCACTTAGTCTAAAGAAAGATTTAATAGTCTTTCTTGCCTTGTTTTTTCCTCTAGCTAAAACATTTTATATGATAAAGCTAGCAAAAACAAATAGGAATAAAATTACTATCAGTTTTACCTAAGGAAACTTAAAAGTGGCCAATTTTTCTCATACTTTTACAAAATTCTTACTTCTGGCTCAAAGTTGCAAGTAAATGTGTCATCCTCAAAGAAGAATTTTTCTGAAAGCTAAACTATGACTTATACACTTCCAAGCTATTTACTTCATATCAATATTGCTTCTATATTCAAACTCGCAGAACAGCACAAAGAAAAAAATCTAGTTGAAATTTATAAAATACAAAGGTTCCTCTATGGCATCCCAATACTAGATGCAGTTTCAATGAAACATCTATACTGCAAATAGAGGAGGCACATAAAAGAAAGCAACAGGGAAGACACAAGTTAGAAGAGAACACAAGTAAAAGAAACACAAAATCAAATAGGAATAAATGTAACTGGATAAAGGCTCTTCAGAGGCTGAGAAACTACCCTGATCTACGAATCTGCACCAGCATCCACAAATTGTACTTAATTTTTTCTATTTTATTAAAAAGAATTTATATTCACCATAATGTTGTCTAAAAGCCTTGTAATTATATGTATTACCCTTATGAAAGAAGCACTAAGATCAGTTGACCTAGGTTCCTCTACATAAATTTATTTTGATTTAGAGAAAAAATAAAAAGGAAAAGCAAGGCAGAGAGGAGAAAAAAGGATGAGAATATGCTATTCTATTCAGAATAACTGAATAATACTGTAAAATAACTATTACAGAAAATCAGTAATCTTTTCATGTGAAAGAAAGGGAAAAGATTTGGTAAGAAATGTCATAATTTTAATTATAAGATACATCCTTTAAAATTGTTTCAAATATGTGAATGTGTGTGTGTTCCTTCAGCCAATTAACTACAGAAAACGGTGACACATGGGTGACAGAAGTACAGGCATATCTCACTTTACTGTGCTTCACTTTACTGAGCTTTACAGATACTGCTTTTACAAACTGAAGATTTGTGGCAACCCTGCATCGATCAAGTCTATCAGCACTATTTTTCCAACAGCATATGCTCACTTTGTGTCTCTGGGTCACAATTTGGTAATTCTCACAATATTTCCAACTTTTTCATTATTACTGTATCTGGTATGGTGATCTGTGATCAGTGATCTTTGATGTTACTATTGTCATTGTTTGAGGCACCACGGACCATGCCCATAAGCAAACTTAATAAATGTACACATTCTGACTGCTCCACCAACCAGCAGTTCCTCTATCTGTTTCTCTCTCCTTGGGCCTCCCTATTCCCAGACACAACATATTGAAATTGGGCCAATGAATAACCCTACAATGGCCTCTAAATATTGCAGTGAAAGGAAGAGTCTCACATCTCTCACCAGACAGGACAAAAGCTAGGCCTCTTGTGCCAAACAGCCAAGTTACGAATGTAAAGTAAAAGTTTTTGAAGGAAATTAAAAGTGCTACTCCTGTGAACACATGAATGATAAGAAAGCAAAACAGCCTTATTGCTGATGCAGAGAAAGCTTTAGGGGCCTGGATAGAAGATCAAACCAGCTACAGCATTCCCTTAAGCCAAAACCTAATCCACATCAAGAATCCAATTTTCTTCAATTCTATGAAGGCTAAGAGAGGTGAAGAAGCTGCGAAAGAAAGATTGGGAGCTAGCAGAGGTTGGTTCACGAGGTTTAACGAAAGAAGCCATCTCCAGAACAAAAAAGCACAAGATGAAGCAGCAAGTGCTGATGTAGAAGCTGCAGCAAGTTATCCAAAGATCTAGCTAAGATCACTGACAAAGATGGCTACACCAAACAACATATTTTCAATGTAGATGAAACAGCCTTCGGTTGAAAGAAGATGACACCTAGGCTTTCACAGCTATAGAGGAGAGGTCAATGCCTGACTTTAAAGCTTCAAAGGACAGGCTGACTCTTGCTAGGGGCTAATGCAGCTGGTGACTTTAGGTTGGAGCCAATGCTCATTTGCTATTCCAAAACACTGGGGCCCTTAAGAATTATGCTAAATCTTTTGTGCCTGTGCTCTATAAATGGAACAACAAAACTTAGATGACAGTACATCTGTTTACTGCATGTTTTACTGAATATTTTAAGCCTTTCAATGAGACCCATTGCTCAGGGGAAAAAAAAAAAGATTCCTCTCAAAATAGTACTGCTCATTAACAATGCACCTGATCACCCAAGAGCTCTGATGGAGATGACAAAAAGATTCACATTGTTTTCTTGACTGCTAATACAACATCCATTCTGCAGCCCATAGATCAAGGAGTAATTTTGACTTTCAAGTCTTACTAAATTTTTTTTTCTTGAAACAGGGTCTTGCTCTGTTGCCCAGGCTGGAATATGCTGGCACAATCTCAGCTCACTACAACCTCTGCCTCCCAGGTTCAAGAGATTCTAGTGCCTCAAAGCCTCCTGAGTAGCTGGGACTACAGGTGTGTGCCACCATGCCCAGCAAATTTTTTGTATTTTTTGTACAGAACTCCTGTACTCCTGAGCTCAGGCAATCTGCCTGCCTCGGCCTCCCAAAGTGATAGGATTACAGTGTGAGCCACCTGCGCCCTACCTCAAGTCTTATTAATTAAAAAATACATTTTGTAAGGCCATACCTGTCATAGATAGCGATTCCTCTGATGGATCTGGGCAAAGTCAATTGAAAGCCTTCTGGAAAAGATTTCTCATTCTAGATGCTATTAAAACATCCATGTTTCATAAAAGGAGATCAAAATATCAACATGAGCAGGAGTTTGGAAGAAGTTGATTCCAAGCCTCATGGATGACTGAGGGGTTCAAGATGTCAGTGGAAGAAATAACTGCATGTATGACAGAAATAGCAAAAGAACTATAATTAGAAGTAGAGCCTAAAGATGTGACTGAATTGCTGTAATCTTACGATAAAACTTTTAAAAATGAGGAGTTGCTTCTCATGAATGAGCAAAGAAAGTGAGTTGTTTTTTTTTTTAGTAAGGTTTTTGTTGTTGTTGTTGTTGTTGTTGTTGTTTGGGGGAATTTTTTTTTTTTTTTGAGACAGGTTCTTGCTCTTTCACCCAGGCTGGAGTGCAGTGGTGCAATCTGGGCTCACAGCAACCTCCGTGTCCTGGGTTCAAGTGATTCTCCTGCCTCAGCCTCCTGAGTAGCTAGGATTACAGGTGTCCACCACCATACCCAGCTAATTTTTGTATTTTTAGTAGAGACTGAGTTTCACTATGTTGTCCAGGCTGGTCTCGAACTCCTGACCTCAAGTGATCCACCTGTCTCTGCCTCCCAAAGTGCTGAGATTACAGGTATGAGCCACCATACCCTGCCAAAAGTGGTTTTCTGAAATAGAATCTACTTCTGGTGAAGATGCTATTATATGTACATTGTATCATTGTTGTGAACAACAAAGTATTTGAAATATTCCATAAACTTAGTTGATAAAGCAGCAGCAGGGTTTGAGAGAACTAACTCCAATTTTGAAAGAAGTTCTATTGTGGCATAAAATGCTCTCAAACAGTGTCATATGCTACAGAGAAATTTTTCATGAAAGACAGAGTCAATCGATAGGGCAAACTTCATTGTTGTCTTATTTTTTAAAAATTGCCACAGCAACCCCAACCTTCAGCAACCACAACCTTGATCAGTCACCAGCCATCAACACTGAGGAAAGACCCTCTATCAGCAAAAAGACTACAACTCACTGAAGGCTCAGATGATTGTTAGCAATTTTTAGGAATAATGTATTTTTAAATTAAAGTATGTAAACTGTTTTTTTAGACATAATGTTTTTCTACTGCACATATATAAATAGACTGCAGTATAGTGTAAACATAACTTTTATATGCACTGGGAAACCAAAAAATGTGTGAGACTCACTTTATCGCAATATCCACTTTAATATTACAGTGGTCTGGAGCTGAACTTGCAATATCTCTGAGGTATGTCTGTAAACACATTTGATCTACTTGCAACATGACAGTGAACTGCGCTTTCTCCAAACACAGAGAAATGCTAGAAAACATCTAACCCCCAAAAAAGGTATATAGCTTAGAAATACCCAGGGTTCAACAAAGAGGTAACCCAAAGCCAAAGTTACAAGAGTATATGCAGACAGCATAACAACTTAAGAACATATAACGTAGAAACTGAACCTAGGGGCCAGTAGCTAAGGTTTTAAGGTCCATCTGTCAGGACAGGATATGTGGTTTGGGGCCCATGTAAGTAGTGAAGTTAGAATGAAATAACTGAGGTACCTGAATAAAAGGTTCAGATATTCAAAAGATGGCTTATTCCATTGAAAAGGGATATTAAAAGCAAAAACAAAATATTTACTCACTAGCCCAGGAGAGCAGTTTTTTTGCCAGTTCTCTGCCAAAAGCTCTGGGTAGGAAAAAGTTTTCTATAACCAATCAAACCCTAAAGATAGGTTTGGGGCCCATGGTATGATGGTAATCCCATGCCAGATAAGAAATAGCTGCTAGTAAGGAATTTTATATAATGTTATAGTGTAATTGCTAAGAAATATTATCAAATGAAAAAAACTAGGGGCTGGACAGTGTCAATAGTATGCCTGCATTTATCTAAGAAAACAATACAAATTTAATTCCATTTTAAAAGCAGACACAAAAGAAAGATAAATCAAAAGCTAATTACATTGTTTACCTATGGGAAAGGAGAGAAAAGGGCAAAGTGAGAAGGATAGAAACTAGACTTCACCAAATTTACCTCATTTTCTAGTTTTGACTCTGAAACTATAAAAATTTCTAACATAATTATAAAGCAAAACTGAATCAAGAATGTTAAAAACTATTCCCAAAATTTGAAAGTAAAATGAAATAAACTAACTTATGTATCAAGTTGCTAGCTTAAACATGGAGAACAATTATTTCAAGTGACATTAAACAGAGTAATTTGATTATAAATTCTAAGTGGGATATACAGCAAGAACCAAAAGAACTGTAAAAAAATTGTAAACTGTTTCCCAGTAACCATATTGTTAGTAATAGCATTGGTATTGTTACACTGATATTAAAATAGAGATTAATTTCATTAATGTTATTATACTAGGAACCAAGAGTTTTAGCGTAAGAGGGAAAAAAACACAAACATAAAACCAAAAATGTTAAGTAAAACTTCTATAATCCCAAATTCGAAATAGAAAAGTTTTTTAGAACAAACTGTTTGCAATGTTGGCCTTGTGAACTTGGATTTCGAAGTGTTGCCACCAGTCCCAGAACTAATAAGAGAGGTCACTGTGCCTAAACAGTTTGTACAACGTGGTTTAAACTAAACACCTCCTCTCTTTCTGAGAGTCTGGAATTTTGTATATGCCAGGCAGAGGATGCCTAGATAAGCAGCCTCTAATAAACATCCTGGGCACAAAGTCTCCAGTGAGCTTCCCTGGTAGACATTTCACATGTGTTGTCACAACTTGTTCCTGAGGGAATTAGGTTCATCCTGTGTGACTCCATGAGCAGAGGACTTTTCAAGGCTTGTGGCTGGTTTCCTCCAGACTTTGCTCCATTTGCCTTTTCCCTTTACTGGTATTGCTTTGTATCCTTTGCTATAATAAATCACACATGAGCATGGCTATATGCTGAGTCCTGTGAGTCCTCCTAGTGAGTCACTGAATCTGGGGGTTGTCTAGGAATTCCTAAGACAGTGGGAAACTTTGCAGACTAATAAGCTGGTTTCCTCAACAAATAAATTGCACAAGACAAAAAGGAGGAAAAAAAATCTTGTAAAGAAATTTAATAATAAATTTTTAATTCTAATTTTTTGTTTCAGTTCCTCTAAATATGGCAAATACTGATTGGAACAAAAAATTACAATTTGTTATTCAGAAGCCATAAAATTCAAAAAAAGTTAAATAAATTGCAGATCATTGTTGTATAAGTCCATGTCATTTATACTCTTGAAGTCATTTAAGCTTAAAACTGCACTAAGACTTTTGGAATATTCTGTACAAACAAACTAAATTTGACTAAAGAAGAATATAGAAAACATGAACATATTCAAGATATCAAAGAAATTAATTCAGCAGTCAAAAATATGATGAAAACCTCAGTCAAAAGTTTATAGACAAGTATCACCAAATCTTAAAGAAACAGGTAACCCCTATTTTAAGCATGATATTCCAGAGAATAAAAAATAGGAAAAGCTATCCAGCTCATCTTATAAGACTAGGGTATTAGTCCATTTTCATGCTGCTGATAAAGGCATACTCGAGACTGAGAAGAAAAAGAATTGAAAGAATTGAACTTACAGTTCCACATGGCTGGGGAGGCCTCAGAATCACGGTGGGAGGCAAAAGGCACTTCTTACATGGCAGCAGCAAGAGAAAATGAGGAAGAAGCAAAAGTGGAAACCCCTGATAAACCCATCAGATCTCCTGAAACTTAGTCACTGTCATGAGAATAGCACAGGAAAGATCAGCCCCCATGATTCAATTACCTCCCCCTGGGTCCCTCCCACAATACATGGGAATTCTGGGAGATACAATTCAAGTTGATATTTGGGTAGGGACACAGCCAAACCATATCATCCTGCCCCTGGTCCCACCAAATCTCATGTTCTTACATCTCAAAACCAATCATGCCTTCCCAACAGTCCTCCAAAGTCTTAACTCATTTCAGTATTAACCTAAAAGTCCACAGTCGAAAGTCTCATCTGAGACCAGGCAAGTCCCTTCCGCCTATAAGCCTGTAAAATCAAGAGCAATCTAGTTACTTCCTAAATACAATGGGGGTACAGGTATTGGGTAAATACAGCTGTTCCAAATGAAAGAAATTGGCCAAAACAAAGTGGTTACAGGGCCCATGCAAGTCCAAAATCCAGTAGGGCAGTCAAATTAAATGATCTCCTTTGACTCCAGGTCTCACATTCAGGTCATGCTGATGCAAGAGGTCGGTTCCCATGGTCTTGGGCAGCTCCATCCCTGTGGCTTTGCAGGGTATAGCCTCCCTTCCCAGCTGCTTTCACAGGCTAATGTTGCGTGTCTGCAGCTTTTCCAGGTGCATGGTGAAAGCTGTCAGTGGTCTACCATTCTGGGGTCTGGAAGACGGTGCCCCTCTTCTCACAGCTCCACTAGGAAATGCCCCAGTAGGAACTCTCTGTAGGGACTCCAACCCCACATTTCCCTTCTGCACTGCCCCAGCAGAGGTTCTCCATGAGGGCCCTGCCCCTGCAGCAAACTTTTGTCTGTGCATCCTGGAGTTTCCACACATCTTCTGAAATCCAGGCAGAGGTTTCCAAACCTCAATTCTTGACTTCTGTGCCCTTGCAGGCTCAATACCACTGGGAAGCTGCCAAGGCTTGGGGCTTCCACCCTCTGAAGCCACAGCCCAAGCTTTACATTGGCCCCTTTCAGCCATGACTGGAGCGGCTGGGACAAAAGGCACCAAGTTCCTAGGCTGCACACAGCATGGGGACCCTGGGCCTGGCCCCAAAACCACATTTTTCTTCCGGGCCTCCAGGCTTGTGATGGGAGGGCCTGCTGTGAAGGTCTCTGACATGGCCTAGAGACATGGCCTGGAGACATTTTCCCCACGGTCTTGGGGATTAACATTAGGCTCCTTGCTACTTATGCAAATTTCTGCAGCTGGCTTGAATTTCTCCTCAGAAAAATGGGTTTTTCTTTTCTACTGCATCATGAGGCTACTGAATCATCAGGAACTTTTATGCTCTGTTTCCCTTTTAAAACAGAATGCTTTTAACAGCACCCAAGTCACTTTTTGAATGCTTTGCTGCTTATAAATTTCTTCTTCCAGATACCCCAAATCATCTCTCTCAAGTTCAGAGTTCCACAAATCTCTAGGGCAGGGGCAAAATGCCACCAGTCTCTTTGCTAAAACGTAACAAGAGTCACCTTTGCTCCAGTTCCCAACAAGTACCTCATCTCCATCTGAGATCATCTCAGTCTGGACCTTATTGTTCATATCACTATCAGCTTCTTTTCAAAGCCATTCAACAAATTTCTAGGATGTTCCAAACTTTCCCACATTTTCCTATCTTCTTCTGAGCCCTCCAAACTGTTCCAATCTCTGCCTGTTACCCATTTCCAAAGTCGCTTCCACATTTTCAGGTATCTTTTCAGCAACACCCCACTCTACTGGTACAAATTGACTGTATTAGTCTATTTTCATGCTGCTGATAAAGATGTACCCAAGACTGGGAAGAAAAAGAGGTTTAATTGAACTTACAGTTCCACATGACTGGGGAGGCCTCAGAATCATGGCAGGTGGTGAAAGGCATTTCTTACATGGCAGCAGCAAGATAAAATGAGGAACAAGCAAGCCCATCATATTTCGTGAGACTTAGTCTCGTGATAAACCCATCATATTTCGTGAGACTTAGTCACTATCATGATAATAGCATGGGAAGGACCAGCCCCCATGTTTCAATTAGCTCCCCCGGGTCCCTCCCAGAACACATGGGGATTCTGGGAAATACAATTCAAGTTGAGATTTGGGTGGGGACACAGCCAAACCATATCAACTAGTATAATCTCAACGTGGCAAAAATGGATAAGAAAAGACTATAGGCAGGCTCATTTACTAATAGAGATGAAAATATTCAACATAAATTAATGAATTTAATTGATTTAGTCAAGCAAAGTGTGTCCATCTATATCATCTAAATGTCTATGTCTACATACACATATCTACTTAACTGTGTCATAATCAAGTAAGATTTATCCCAGGAATTCAAGGATAGACTGACATTGCTAAATTTAGTAATGTAATCTGCCATATTAACAGATTTAGGAGAAAAACCATAAGATCATTTCAAAAGACACAGGAAAAAAAATTCAACATCCATATATTATATTAAGAAACTTTTAGCAAACTAAGAATACAAGAAAATTCTCTTAACCTGATATTTAATAGTAAAATTTTAAAGCATTCTCTTTAAAATCAGAAACAAGATAAAAATGTGTGTTAGTACTGCTTCTAGTTAGGCCTATACAGGAAATCCTAACCAGTTTTTTGGGATTTGGGGTTTTTTTTGTTTTGTTTTGTTTTGTTTTGTTTTGTTTTGTTTTGTTTGGAGACGAAGTCTCGCTCTTGTTGCCCAGGCTGGAGTGCAATGGCACGATCTCGGCTCACTGCAACCTCTGCCTCCCAGGTTCAAGCGACTCTCCCACCTCAGCCCCCCAAGTAGCTGGGATTACAGGTGCCTGCCACCATGCCCAGCTAATTTTTGTATTTTTAGTAGACACGAGGTTTTACCATGTTGGCCAGGCTGGTCTCAAACTCCTGACCTCAGGTGATCAGCCTGCCTCGGCCTTCCAAAGTGCTGGGATTACAGGCATGAAACACCATGCCCAGCCCCTAACCAGTTTTAAAAGTATAAGAATTGAAAAAATAAAAATTATTATTTACAAATAACATGATTATACAGAAGATCCAAGAGAATCTACAAACTGTCAAAACTAATGAGACAATTCAACAAGGTTACTGGGAATAAGATCAATATACAAAAAATTAATAGCATTCCTACACAGAGGCAATATCCAAGCATAAATATAATAAAACATCTCATTCCAATAGAAACAAAATCATAATGTACCTAGAATATATCTAACAAAATCTGACTAAAACTTCTATGGAGGAAATTCTAAAACTTTAACATCAGGCATAAATGGAAACTTAAATGAATGGGAACATATACCATGTTGGTAGATGAAAAAAATTCAGTTTCATAAAAATGTCTGTTCTCACTAAATTATTTCTATAAATTCAATTCCACTAGAAATTCCATGAAGGTTGTTAACAGAACTTGACAATGTGACCCTATAATTCACATGTAAAAGAAAAGACTGAAAATAAGATACTTTTTAAGAAGATGAACAAGGTGGAACGATTTATCCTAACAGCCATCATCCTATTATAAAGCTATGATAATTTAGATGGCATAATATTGTCATAGAGATAAACAAATCAACCACACAGAATAGGGAACCCAGAAACAGAACCACGTATATATGGCAATTTGGTACTGAATATTGTTGGTACGCTATATTAGAAAGTTGGCAATACAAATCATTGAGGAAACGAAAAGTTATTTTCATAATGATACTGAGAAAATTAGTTACATACGGAAAAAAAATTAGACCATCTCGCAAAATAAACTCCAGGTGGATTTTTAAAACTTAAGGCTAGAAAGCAAAATTGTAACATTTTTAGAAGAAAAAATGAAAATTAACCATATGACATCAAAATAGGAAAAGCTTTCTTAAGACCCAAAAAAGTAGAAGCCTTAAAGGGAAAGGCCAAAAATATTTACACAGTAAGTTTTGAAACCTCTATAAATAGATACATCACAAAGTAAAAAGATAAACCACAAAATGGTACAAGTTTACAATGCATATGACCAAACATGAATGATTATAAAAAAATGAAATAAAAAAGAAAAAGGTAAAAACAAAAGAAATGAAATGTAAATGGACAATAAACATACGAAAGGTTGTTCATCCTCACTATTAGGGAAATGCAAATGAAAATAAAACAACATTTCACATTATATTCTAATAATATTAAGTATAAGCAAGTATATGAGGAAAAGGAAATCTTACCCACTGCTGGTGAAACATAAATTGGTATTGCTACTTTGGGGAATGACTGGCTACATCAGGCAAAGTTGATAATGATTACAACCAACAAGCACACACCCTAAAGAAACTTTTACACACACCTGGCAAAGGAACAAGGATAAAAGTGTTCCTTACAGCATTGTTTTAACATTTAATACCTAGAAATAGACTAAACATCTGTAAATAAGTGAATAAATAAAATGCAGTACATTCATATAATAAAACACTGAGAAAAGGATACTATGTGTATCACTGTAGGTAAATCTCAAAAACAGAATGCTGAGTAAAAAAACAAGCTCCAGAATGTGTACAGCATGATATGATTTATGTTAAGTTTAAGAATATGCAAACAATAGTATACACCAGAACTCTCTGCAATAATGAAAATGGTCAGTATCTGCATTGTCTAATACAGCAGCCTCTAGCGATATGTGGATATTAAAGAATATTAAACACTTATAATGTGGCTAGTACTCCAAAGAAACTGAATGTGTTTTCTTTTAATTAATTTAAATAGCCACATGTGGCTATAGCAGATACCATACTGGTAGAGCAGGTATATAAATTTATGAATACATAAATATAAATACATACAATCAAATATATAAAGCTGGAGGAAGAATACATACCAACTTCAGGAAAGTGGTTATCTCTGGAGAAGTAAAATGAGACAGAATGGGATGTGAAGGAACTCAAGAGTCTTTATGAACACTTATTTCTTTACAACAAAAATAAATATAAAGCAAACATGTCAAAATACTTAACATTGTTAAATTTGGTTAAAATATTGTTAATATTGGTTAGTCTGCTTTTTCAGTATGTTTGAAATTTTTCCCTATTTAAAATTTTTAATATTTCCTATTTTAAATGTTTTATTTTCATTTCTTTGAAGCATTTCCTTTTTAAAATATTTAAATAACTTTTTGAAAGTAAACTGTATTTAAATCTTTATACCTGTAGAGCTAAACCCAAGAGATCAACTATCTTATGTATAGTCTCGATGAATATGTAAAACATTGAGAAAATAAGAAACTAGAGCAAAAAAAATGATACAATATGCTTGTAGAGTTCCTAATTTATGTGATGTTTTACAATTAATTTTCAAAGATCCAACCAAAATATCTAAAAATGTGTTATTTTACTTAGATTGTAAATAGAATGGAGACAAACGTGAATTTATCTTACAGGTAAGTTAGAACGATTAAAAATACATTAAATAAAATACTGAAAATAGCACTGGACCCAGGGTCATGGCAGTTTTTATTAACTTTCTAGTACCAGTTTATATTAACTTTGTGTGTTCTATTTATCTAGGTTTCCTCATTCGTACAGGCTGAACTAAAGAGTCTCTGATTTCACTGCAATTCTTTTAAGTTTAGAACTTTTAATCAAGTTTCATTTATTCTTTCAAATGCATATGTAATAAGTTATTTAGGATAATCATTCCTTTGTATCAAAGTGTCAAAACTCTGCACATCTGAAATCCATATTCCCTTAGTGGCATCTAACTCCTCCTCCTTGCCCATAGAAAAGACAGAAAAAGAAAGAAGAAAGTAAATACATGATCGGCTAGTCAATGATCCATGGTTCTCAAAGAACCTCATTTTTCAAAAATGGAAGCTTTTCTACTAGCTTTTTGTGACTTTTAATGGGTCTTATAATCAACACATAAAATCCTCCAGCTATTTTCTTTTAGATATCCCAAGACTCTGGAGAGAAAACTGATTCTCTATATAAGTTGCATCTTTGCTCACATTAATGTTTTTAATTCACAAAAATCTAAAACATATATTAGCCAGGAACATCAATTCATTCAGTGTTCTCTCCAAGTTATCATGCAGCCAAAGAATGCGGAAGAATTAGGTCTCTCTGTGCTATTCATCCATACAACTCTTAGTTACATCACTCAGTGTATGACAGAAATGCCAAGATTGGAGAAGTTTGATTGTTTATTATTGTTCTAACTGACCTGCACAACTGTTATTACATAATAAGGCTTTGGGTTAAATTATTTTGGATGGTGGTATAAATGACAGGAAATGGCAGTAATTCTCTTCTACTTGTTAATTTTTTTGGCAAAATTATTGAGACATTCCTGACCTCTATCACCTTTCATAAAATATACATACAACTTAAATTCATGTGATGCTTAATTTTATGTGTCAATTTGAATGGGGCCACAGAGTGCTAAGATTAAACATTGCTTCTGAGTGTGTCTGTGAGGGCATTTCTAGATGAGATTAGCATTTGAATCAGTAGACTCAGTAAAGTACATTGCCCTCCCCAATGTGGTTGGCCATCATCCAATTAATTGAAGGCCTGAATAAAACAAAAGGTGAAAGAAGGAAGAATTCACAGCTTTCTGCTTCCTGCCTGCCTGTTTGAGCTAGAACGTGGGTCTTCTCCTGCTGCTGGACTGGGATTTACACCATCAGCTCACCTGGTTCTCAGTCCTTCAGATTCAGAATCACGTTACACCACCAGCTTTCCTAGGTCTCTAGCTTGCAAGGAGCAGATCACAGGACTTCTCTGCTAATTCCTCAGAATAAATGTTCCTTACAGTCAGGTGCTACTTAACAATATTTAGGTAATGATGGATCTCATATATGACTGTGGTCTCAAAAGATTATATGGAACTGAAAAATTCCAATTGCCTAGTGACACTGTAGCCATCATAATGTACTACATACAATTATGTACAGCAGGGGTCCCCAAATCCCAAGCCATGGACCAGTACCAGTCTGTCACCTGTTAGGAACTGGGCCGCAAAGCAGGAGGTTAGCAGCTGGCAAGCAAGCTTTATCACCTGAGCTCCACCTCCTGTCATATCAGCAGTAGCATTAGATTCTTACAGGAGCACAAACCCTATTGTGAACTATGCATGCGAGGGATCTAGACTGCACACTCCTCATGAGAATCTAATGCCTGATTATCTGAGGTGGAACAGTTTCATCTCAAAACCATGCCCCATCATCCCTGGTCCACAGAATAATTGTCTTCCACGTTTAGGTCCCTGGTGCCAAAAAGGTTGGGGACCACTGATATATAGTACATAGTACTTGATAATGATAATAAATGACTATGTTACTGGCTTATGTATCAACTAATACTAGACTTTTTATTGTTATTTTACAGTGTGCTCCTTCAGGAGCCTCAGGCAAGTCCTTCAGGAGATATTCCAAAAGAAGGCATTATTATCATAGAAGATGACAGCTCCATGCATGTTATTGCCCTTGAAGAGCTCCCAGTGGGACAAGATGTGGGATGGAAGACAACGATATTGATGATCCTAACCATGGGTAGGACTAGGCTAATGTGTATTTGTATCTTAGTTTTTAATAAAAAAGTTTTAACAGTAAAAAAATTAAAAATAGGGGAAAAGCTCATAGAATAAGGAAATGAATGACTTTTGTGCAGCTGTACAATGTGTTTATGTTTTAAGCTAAGTGTTACTGTGTTTTAAGCTGTTATTACAAAAGAGTCAAAATGTTTTTAAAAAGTTTATAAAGTAAAAACGTTAATTTATCAACTTTATTTAAAGTATTTATTAAAAAGGTTAATTTATTTTTGAAGGAAGAAAAGTATTTCTTTATAAATTTAGTATAGCCTAAGTGTACAGTGCTTATAAAGTCTACAGTACTATACAGTAATGTCCGAAGTTTTCATATTCACTCACCACTCACTCACTGACTAACCCAGAGCAACTTCCAGTCCTGCAAGCTCCACTCACAGTAAGTGCCCTATATAGGTGTACCATTTTTTATCTTTTATGCTGTATTTTTATCGTAGTTTTTCTATGTTTTGATACACAAATAATTACCATTGTGTTACAAGTGTCTACAGTACTAAGCACATTAACATGCTGTTTGTACACTGTACAGGTTTGTAGTCTAGGAGCAACAGGCTAAACCATATAGCTTAGGTGTGTAGTAGGCTATACCATGTAGGTTTGCGTAAGTATACTCTATGCTGTTCACACAAGGACAAAGTCACCTAATGACACATTTTTCAGGAAATATCCCCATCTTTGAGCAACACATGACTGTATATCCTGTTGGTTCTGTTTCTCTTGAGAACTTTCACTAACACAGTTAACAAACGTTTCCTGTAGACATACAAGCAGCCAACAAACATATGAAAAATTCTCAACATCACTAATCATCAGAGAAAGGCAAATCAAAACCACAGTGAGATGCCATCTCATACAAGTCAGAATGGCGATTATTGAAGAGTAAAAAAACAACAGATGCTGGTGAGGCTGCAGAGAAAAGGGAATTTTTATACACTGTTAGAGAAAATGTAAATTACTTCAGCCACTGTGGAAAGCAGTTTGGAGACTTCTCAAAAATCTTAAAACAGAATTACCATTGAACCTAGCAATCCCATTACTGGGTATATATCCAGAAGAAAATAAACTGTTCTACCAAAAAGACACATGTACTTGTATGTTCATCGCAGCACCATCCACAATATCAAAGACATGGAATCAACCTAGTTACCTACCAATAGTGAATTGGATAAAGAAAATGTGGTATATACATACCATGGAATACTATGCAGTCATAAAAAAGAAGAAAATCAAATCCTTTGTAACAACATGGAGGTCATTATCCCAAGTGAATTAAGGCAGGAACAGAAAAACAAACACTATATATTCTCACTTATAAGTGGGAGCTAAACAATGGGTACTCATGGACATAAAGACAGCAACAATAGACACTGAGGACTACCAGAGGGGAGAGAGAAGGCAGGGGGCAAAAGCTGAAAAGCTAACTACTGGGTACTATGCTCATTACCCGGTTGACAGGATCAATCACATCCCAAACCTCAGCATCATGCAATAAACCCAGGTAACAAACTTGCACATGTAACCCTGAATCTAAAATAAAAGATGAAATTATTCTTTAATGTCTCCTGGAATTAATTAGCTTCCCAACATTAATAAGGCAATATTTTTCTTACTAAACATAAGTACTATTTTTAGCACATGGGAAGATTCAAGCTTGTAAAGTACAAGGGAACAGAATCCCCCCTACCCAAAAAGGAAAAAGCATTTTATGTTTCATTAATTCTAATTACAATAGTTGACCCTCATGAGAACACCATAAACCAGGATTTGATAGATAGGATTACAGTGTAGTTCAGTATATAATTACAATGCAGTCTGAAACACAACTTACCTTTCATGTTCTATTATATATTCAAAGTCAGCATAACACTGCTGGATGTTAAATACAGGACTACTTACAGGAACACTTGTTTTAAGTCCAAGAATTGAGAGGAAAAAGAGAAAAAAATTTTTCAATTGGTATTTCTAGTAACACCCAATGCTGCATACTCCATTCCAACTACTAAACATGCAATAAATTGTTACTCTTTGATAAACCTAAATCCAAATGAAAAAGGAAACATGAATATAAGCTACACTATCCTCATGATTAAAGCATACAGCTCAAAGACATACATTTTTCTTCCTCCAGCTTCCAACCTGCCAAAGGATTTTTACCTCCAGCACCCATTAAACATGAAATTCATTCAGGGAGCTCTATGAGTGATAAAGTAAAAGCTGCTGTCAGAAAGTCTGGCCAGTTTCCCCTGCAAATCTAGGAGAAAGACTGAGAGTATGTAAGCGCTGACATTATTTATAAATTACTTGCCATTCAGCAATCAATAAGAACTTAAGTATTATTAACATATCTCTTTTATTTCACTTAAGAAAAGCATTTTAGTTGGAGCAATTCTTGCTGATGCACTGAATCTGTACTTGAGGAAACAGATCTAATATTATACAAGAGTATAATTAGGAATCAAAAAGGCTAACCAATTAATTTTTTAGAACTTTAAGCTGATATTTAAGCTTTGCTTATGAAAGAAATGAAGAAAAGGAGAATATTGTTATTTCATGAAACCAAAATATCCTTTTTAAAAATGTTTTAAATTTCTTATAAGCTCTGTGATTCAAACAGTATAAATAGTCCATGTAACAAAGCAAAATTTAAAGTGAAGTTAATGGGTTCCCTCTATAAGGTTAAATTTCAACAAAAGTAAAAACATCAATAAGAAATAATATAAATTTTTAATGCTTTAATGCTTCCATTGATATCTTAAGGGAAGAACTTTATTTGGCAAGCTTCTTAGTTCCCAAAGTCATATTTTCCTACTTTTCAAGCAAAGAAACACTATATATAATAAAGTGACATGTGTAAAGAGATAATTTAGCATATGGACTTATTCCACTGATTTTAAGTGTATGAAGTGAAACTGTGGGTTTTGTTCTCTAATCTTTAACATTATTTTTTTAAATTGATTTCAAATCATTCTTTATTATATCAAAATTGCTTAAGTTTACCTAGCTAATTATGGGTGGGATAGTTACTCCTGACCATAATTGTATCAAAACTCTTACACTAGAACCCTGTGATATATAAGATATCTGTAATAATGTTATAGATTACTAATGGTAGTTCTCCACTTCTTTTCATCATTCAAATATGTACCATCATTACTTTTTCTATTTCTCTCAAATGTGAGTTCTCATAAGATCACATACCTCTCCTTAGTGTTTATGGCTGTTTTAATTTTTAAACTTAATTTTGAAATTATTTGATTAACATCTATCTCTTCTACTAGACTATAAGCAAGGACAGAAACCATGTCTATTTTTACATTTACTTTATCCTCAACATCTAGCATAGTGTCTGGCTTGGAATATGTGATCAATAAATATGTGCTAATCGATGGATAATATTAACAATAAATGGTGATTTTTTCCCTTCACTTTCAGAAAATCTTTCCTGTCTGCAGTATAAATTGGGCCTTAATAAATAGATGATTGAATAGAGATAATGCCAGAAGATCTTTCTCACATGCAGCTGTACATCCAAGAAACATAACATTTTTGTCTCTTTTTTATATCATTTTTACTTATTTATGGTTAAACATAAGGTAATAAACTGAAAACAGAGTACATCCCTTATCAATATCTACAACCAATGAAGACTTCAAGGATCTGCTGAAAAGGTACATAGTAAGAACAGAAATTAATAACCATGTAACCAACAAACTGATGGCCAAGTTTTCATAGTTAATATGGTCAAATATTGGAGCAAAGACAATTTGTGCCTGACACAAATAACTGCGCAAAAAATGAATGAATGAAGTCTTCTCCTCAAAAGGAACTACTTCTTGTTATGCCTACTGCAGTATTTTTCAACATCCAGACAAAATGTGTATGTGCATTTTATATATACTCCACACAAACACACTTACAGAGTGTTTTCAAAGGAAGTAAACAAGGTCAAAAGGTAAGATTACAAGACTCTAACCTGAAGGGAATTTTAAATATAAGGACAAACATGACCTGAAATCTATGGCCCATATTAAACTTCTCTCTAATCCTCTGACAACAGACAAAACAGTTGACCTTTCTGAAGTGTTCTCACCCTTTCTAATAAAGAGTATGGTTGATATCTCTCATATTAATGTAAAAAGAAATAATAATAAATAACTTACATTTGTACTGTTTTTCTTTATATCCCTTCCCATTCTAAAGAAAGTATTTTAGATGGTATATTAAACAGTACTTTATAATTTACAAGGCACTTCCACATAAATTCTCATTTAAGCTACACAACAACCCTATAAGTTATATAAGTAAGTATAATACTGTTAGCCCTATTTTACAAACGAGAACATTAATGGCCAAAAAAGTTAAGTGAACTGTCAGAGATACAAAACTAATAAGCAGAAAATCCAAGACCGTAACCCAGATGTTCTGACTCTTCATCTTTTCATTGTACCACAAACAGTAATGTAAAGTTAGAGGTATTTAAAATACATAGTGGCAACACCAAATATTAAACTAGCAGTGTATTTCTGTGAGTTTAGAAACTAGGACAGAATAATCTGAGTCTTTTATATTATCAGAAAAGAAATATCACTATTTCATTTGGAATATTACATTTCTTCTTCCACCATGCAATGCACTAGTCAACAATAAATTTACTAGAATGGCACCTATTAACCAGACTCAAAAATAAATCTAACAGCAGATTCACTCAATTACACAGTTAATACAAACTATTATATAGTTTTTATTGAAGAATAAAGATATTTTCCTGAATCTCTCACTGATAAAATGCAATCTTATCAATCAATTCACATTATTGTTTTATATATACTTCTCATAAAGTATGTTTGTCTTATTATCATCTTCCCTAAAACTCCAGTAAGATTTTTGTAGTTATCCTCAGGTTCAAAATGGAATAAGTAATTGTTTGATACTTTCTTGCTAAGTCTTTAAAGTACTATACAACTGCTGATGTATGTTTGTGCTGGCATTGTAGAGTAGAGCCTTGGGAATACAAAATCTGATTTCAGAGAAACCAGAATTTAGTTCAAATAAAAGAGCCACTTTCTCCAGCTGATAAGACTTTTCCTGAAAGAAAAGCACCAAGTAAGAAACATGCTGGTGATATCTCCTGTTAGTTCTTTACAATCCTAATCAAAACTTTTTTTTAATTTACTTCATTATATACTTCTCTTTTCACATTTTCTCCTGTTAGTTTAATTTTTGTTAGTTTTATTTGTTTGTTGTATGTCTCAGAGTATAATCACATTATTTCAATATACATTGTATTAGATATTTCAGACTAAAAAATATAACTATGTAATTGCAGAATATCCTCAAAGATCTCATTAGAAAGGGAAGCAAATTTTAAAAGAATGAAGTAGGTACTTTTCTTACAGATTTACAATGTTACTAAGCAATAATAATCAGGTAACACCATCAGTCATATATGCATGCCATAAAACTTTAATGTAATAACTAATCACATTTATTTATATTCTTATCAGAAGAGTTGAATGATATAAACAAATTGGCCACCAATACTTTTATGCCATATTCTAGGGAAAACTGGGTTAAAGTAGGAAGAATGAGACTATGTGGGTGACCTATTACATACCACTTTTTGTAGTTTACAAACTTGAATAAGTTTCAACTAGAAGGAAAAATAAGATTAAAAAAACCATTCATTATCTGGATTTCTTTTTTCAAAGAGACAAGGTCTTGATATGTTGCCCAAGCTGGCCTTGATCTTGGGGCTTAAGCAATCCTCCCTCCTCAGCCTCTTGAGTAACTAGTACTAGAGGCATGTGCCACTGTGCCCACCTTCTCTGAGATTTTTTGAATTATTATTATTCAAAAGACCTCCACAATATATTACAGGCCTAAAATTACCTTTGAAATTTAGGCTCATGAGAACAAGAGTTTTTCAAAATTGCTTTTATGATAAATGTTAGTAATGTGATACAGACCTAGTGGTAAGTAGACCTAGTGTCTCCAGACCTGAGGCTGTGTAGAAACAGTAGAATGACCAATGAACTGCTCTTTTTCAATGTTATTAGACTGATGGTCTTACAATTGGTAGTGTATTGGATTACTACAATTCTGGCTTTATCTTTGTATGGAACCTTACAGTTTCAACGTATTTTCACAATGATGATTTCACTCAATTCTTTCAATAACCCTTTCAGGGAGATAAGATCCCCATTTTACAGATAAGAAAGCAGGGACTAAGGGATTTTCCAAAGATCATACAATTTCAGAAATAAGATATGAACCCAGATTTTTTATTTCCAAGATGATACATTTGCCTTCATCTGTACTTCAGTTTCTTTATATTTAAAATGGTAACAATTATATCTATGTGACACAGATAT
This sequence comes from Homo sapiens, assembly GCF_000001405.40. Taxonomy (NCBI): domain Eukaryota; kingdom Metazoa; phylum Chordata; class Mammalia; order Primates; family Hominidae; genus Homo; species Homo sapiens. The sequence goes on from NC_000005.10 coordinate 93,518,644, forward strand.
AATTACATTTCTCATTTAATCTTCAACTATTTAGTATCAATTATGACAGATAATACTAAATAATATGCATTTTGAAAGCATTTTGGTATTTAAGTATATAAAAACAAAACCACCATTTCCACATAATATAGGGTGGTAGCAGTAAAGAAACTGGTCAGGTCTGAAAGGGGACTGATGTCAAAGCTGATAATTTCATCCACAGTATTATGCTCCTTCAGGCTTCCTAAGATGTACATCTAAGAGATCATCATGGTACAGACTGGTGAAGAAATTTATTAAAGTAGACTTAAAGTAGATTAACACAGTCTACCAGACTATTAAAAATTTTTAATTAAACACAATAAAAATCACTACACTTAAGTGGCCTCTTTCTGAGAGATTAGAATCTAAAGTCAGCACATAAGAAAAATTTGCATATGGTCAAAATCCCTTAAGGCAATGTCATGTTGAAGACTGACATACTTTCTCTCATACCAGTTATCTTTTTACTTTGGTTGTGTACTAGATGAATTAGTTGGCTTGTATTTCATACTGTATATAAAAAAAATACATAACTTTAAACCCTAGAAACACACTCAGCCTAGCACACATAAAAGAACTGAGACTGACAGGAATAGCAGATTTACATCTCACATTCATTCCAGGGCACACATTCATTGAGCGAAATATTTTAACTTCTCTTTCTTTTTGGCCAAATCTTTATATGCATATGTATTTAAGTAAAGCAAATGTATGATATGACTCCACTGTGTAAATCATTAAAATAGAAAACATAAAGATATATAGCCACACTAATATTCACATACGTGGGAATATATCTCAAATAATTGCCCACACTGCATGATGCTGAAAGGACCCTTAATTTCTATTTCTACACTGTATGTTTTGGTAATAACTTAGTTGTCAGTGTATACATAACCCCCATCAAAGAATGTGAAAGTATATATAAGTGTATATTAAATTTTCCAAAGGATATTTCCAAAGGACCTCTAAAACAATGCTTCTATTTAGACATGCATGTTAGAATCACCATGTCTGCTGCTATTGCCCAGTAATTCTTAATGTTTAACAAAAAGAAAAATATCCAACTTGATTCCAAGAAATGTGTGATCTTCTACAGAAAAAAAATTCTGCAACAACTGCTACTACACATTTTCAACATAACACTTAAAATACAATATACTGTGTTTGAAAAATTAGACAAAATAACATTTAAGAAGTCTAAACTAAAAGAAAGAAATTCTAGAATATTACTCATCTATGATGACTCAGTATAAACTGACATTTCTCCTAGCAGAGGTTTTTAAAAATCCTCTCTATTTATGGAAAGACAGTTAAGCATCACAGTATCTAAGGTCTCAATGTTAAGAATCAGAGAGCTTTAAAAAGACAAATTCACATTCACTACTATTTTCAGTAATATATAGATCCTATTAAATTCCATGTAAATCACATAAATCAAAGAGAAAAATATGATCTACCTATTTAAAAACTGAACTACACGCATACCTATTATTGTAATAGTTTCCACATGCTTAAAACTAAAGTTTGCTTAAATTTTAGTTTTTAATAGTCAGGATTAGTTGTTTACTTTTGCATCTTTGAAGCCTGGAAATATATTTGTTTTGGTTACTCTCCACTTTTTTGTTAATGAACACTTCCATATTGTGCTCTTTTTGAAGAACACCAAATCCACTTCAAAAAGCTGTCAAATCCACAGTCCCATTTTCACATACTGACAATGCTCAATTACTCAAAGAAACATTCCTTTAAAAGTAGACTAATCACTGAAATTTTAATAAGCTCAAACAAAAAATATATAATTTTATTTTATTAATAGTGTCCTTTTTCACTCAACAAGAGGAAGTATACAGGTTTTACTGAATGAAGAATGACTTTATCTGAATTAGAAAGTATTTAATCTAGGACCAGATTTTCAACCTATAAACTCCAGGAAATTTTTCAAGAGAAGTATGGCCTGTTCTCAAGTAGATTTGTACCAGATATGGTAGAGACTCTAATGAATCCAAATAAATTCTCGTCTTCCATCAAAAACAAAACAAAGGAAATTATTTAAATGAGCAAAAGGAAGGTGATAGACACAGCTGAAAAAACAGAATAATATAGTACTCCCCTTCTGTGACCATATAAAATACAGCTTCTACATATTGCAAGCCTCCCCCCAAAGAAAGCTGTGATTTTTCTATTTCTTTGACCAAAATAAGAATTAAAATTACAAAATGAAGCACTTAGAAACATCACAATACTTCATCAATAAACAGATGAGATAATACTTACATTTTACATGTTGTATTCCCTAAACACCCACTAAGAGTCAATGGTATACAAAACAACATGGTACTGGTTCAAAAAAAGTGCATAGACCAATGGAACAGAACAGAGAGCCCAGAAGTAACGCCACACACCTATGACCATCTGATATTCGACAAAGCTGACAAAAACACGCAATGGGGAAAAGACTCGCTATTCAATAAATGATGCTGGGATAACTGGCTAGCCATATGCAGAAGATTGAAGCTGGACCCCTTCCTTACACCACATACAAAAATCAACCCAAGATGGATTAAAGATTTAAATGTAAAACTCAAAACTATAAAAATCCTGTAAGACAATCTAGGCAATACCATCCTGGACATAGGAAAGGGCAAGGATTTTATGACAAAAACACCAAAACACAAAATTCAAAAATTGACAAATGGAATCTAGGTATACTTAAGAGCTTCTGCACAGCAAAAGAAACTATCAACAGAGCAAACAGACAACCTACAGAATGGGAGAAAATATTTGCAAACTATGTACCCAACAGAGGTCTAATATCCAGCATCTATAAAAAACTTAAACAAATTTGCAAGAGAAAAACAAACAACCCCATTAAAAAGTGGGCAAAGGACATGAACAGACGCTTTTCAAAAGAAGACATACATGCAGCCAACAAACATATGAAAAAAAGCTCAAGATCACTGATCATTAGAGAAATGCAAATCAAAACCACAATGAGATCCCATCTCACACCAGTCAGCATGGCTATTATTAAAAAGTCAGGAAACAACAGGTGCTGGTGAGGTTGTGGAGAAAAGGGAACACTTATGCACTATTGGTGGAAATGTAAATTAGTTCAACCATTGGAATGCAGTATGGCGATTCCTCAAACAGCTAAAAGCCTGCCATTCAACCCAGCAATCCCATTACTGGGTATATACCTAGAGGAATATAAAGCATTCTACCATATAGACACATGCATGTGGCTGTTCATTGCGGCACTATTCACAATAGCAAAGACATAAAATCAACCTAAATGCCCATCAATAACAAATTAAATAAAGAAAATGTGGTACATATATATCATGGAATACTATGCAGCCATAAAAAAGAATAAGATCATATCTTTCACAGGAACATGGATGGAGCTGGATGTTATGATCCTTAGCAAACGAATGCAGGAACAGGAAACGAAATACCACATGTTCTCACTTTTAAGTGGGACCTAAATGATAACTTATGAACACAAAGAAGGGAACAATAGACACTGGGGTCTACCTGAGGGTGGAGGGTGGGAGGAGTGAGAGAGGCAGAAAAGATAACTATTGGGTATTGGACTTAATATCTGGGTGATGAAATAATCTGTACAACAAACCCCTGTGACATGAGTTCACCTATGTAACAAACCTTCACAAGTATCCCCGAACCTAAAAGTTACTTTAAAAAAAGAGTCAATAGTATAAATGTGCAATGTTCCATACTGTTTGTTGATAAATTTAAAGAATGAGGGTATTACTAATTCATTCCCTTTTTTAAAAATACAACAATTACTAAAAATGAACAGTATGATGGGCAATTTTTATTTTCCACTTAGTACAAACATAGAATGTGAAATGAGGTGGGTGGCTGGCAAGATGGCCGAATAGGAAGAGCTCTGGTCAGCAGCTCCCAGCAAGATCAACGCAGAAGGCGGGTGACTTCTGCATTTTCAACTGAGGTATGCAGCTCATCTCACTGGGACTGGTTAGACAGTGGGTGCAGCCCACAGACGGTGAGCCAAAGCAGGGTGAGGCATTGCCTCACCCAGGAACTGCAAGGGGTCAGGGAACTCCCTCCCCTAGCCAAGGGAAGCCATGAGAGACTGACATGAGGGACGGTGCATTCTGGCCCAGATACTATGCTTTTCCCATGGTCTTTGCAATCTGCAGACCAGAAGATTCCTTTGGCTGCCAACACCACCAGGGCCCTGGGTTTCAAGCACAAACCTGGGCAGCCGTTTGGGCAGACACCAAGCTAGCTGCAGGAGGTTTTTTTTTTTTCATATCCCAGTGGTGCCTGGAACACCAGTGAGAGAGAACTGTTCACTCCCCTGGAAAGGGGGCTAAAGCCAGGCAGCCAAGTGGTCTATAGCGGATCCCACTCCCATGGAGCCCAGCAAGCTAAGATCTACTGACTTGAAATTGTTGCTCTGCCAGCACAGCAGTATGAAGTCGACCTGGGATGCTTGAGCTTGGTGGGGGGAGGGGTGTCTGCCATTACTGAGGATTGAGTAGGCAGTTTTCCCCTCACAGTGTAAACAAAGCCTCTGGGAAGTTCCAACTGGATGGAGCCCAAGGCAGTACAGCAAAGCCACTGCAGCCAGACTGCCCTTCTGGATTCCTCCTCTCTGGGCAGGGCATCTCTGAAAGAAAGGCAGCAGTCCCAGTCAGGGGCTTATACATCAAACTCACATCTCCCTGAGACAGAGGACCTGGGGGAAGTGGCAGCTGTGGGTGCAGCTTCAGCAGACTTAAACATTCCTGCCTGCCGGCTCTGAAGAGAGCAGCGGATCTCCCAGCACAACCCTTGAGCTCTGCTAAGAAACACACTGCCTCCTCAAGTGGGTCCCTGAACCCCATGCCTCCTGACTGGGAGACACCATTGGGCAGCAGGGTTGGACAGACACCTCATAAAGAAGAGCTCCAGCTGGGATCTGGCAGGTGCCCCTCTGGGACGAAGCTTCCAGAGGAAAGAACAGGCAGCAATCTTTGCTGTTCTGCAGCCTCTGCTGGTGATACTCAAGCAAACAGGATCTGGAATAGACATCCAGCAAACTCCAGCAGACCTGTAGCAGAGAAGCCTGACTGTTAGAAGGAAAATTAACAAACAGAAAGGAATAGCATGAACATCAACAAAACGGACAACCACACAAAAACTCCATCTGAAGGTCACCAAAATCCAAGACCAAAGGTAGATAAATCCATGAAAATAAGGAAAAGACAGTGCAAAAAGGCTGAAAATTCCAAAAAACAGAAAGCCACTTCTCCTCCAAAGGATCACAACTCCTCACCAGGAAGGGAACAAAACTGGACAGAGAATGAGTTTGAAAAATTGACAGAAGTAGACTTCAGAAGGTGGGTAATAACAAACTCCCCCGAGCTGAAGGAGCATCTTCTAACCCAATGCAAGGAAGCTAAGAACCTTGAAAAAAGGTAAGACGAATTGCTAACTAGAATAACCAGTTTAGAGAAGAACATAAATGATCTGATGGAGCTCAAAAACACAGCATGAGACCTTCGTGAAGCATACACAAGCATCAAAAGCCAAATCAATCAAGCAGAAGAAAGAATATCAGAGATTGAAGATCAACTTAATGAAAGAAAGCATGAAGACATGATTAGAGAAAAAAGAATGAAAAGGAATGAACAAAGCCTCCAAGAAATAGGGGACTATGTGAATAGACCAAACCTGCGTTTGATTGGTGTATCTGAAAGTGATGAGCAGAATGGAACCAAGTTAGAAAACACGTTTCAGGATATTATCCAGGAGAACTTGTCCAACCTAGCAAGACAGGCCAACATTCAAATTCAGGAAATACAGAGAACCTCACAAAGATATTCCTCGAGAAGAACAACCCCAAGACACACAATCATCAGATTCACCAAGGCTGAAATGAAAGAAACAATGTTAAGGGCAGCCAGACAGTAAGGTCGGGTCACCTATAAAGGGAAGCCCATCAGACAAACAGCAGATCTCTCTGCAGAAACCCTACAAGCCAGAAGAGAGTGGGGTCCAATATGCAATACTCTTAAAGAAAAGAATTTTCAACCCAGAATTTCACATCCAGCCAAACTAAGCTTCATAAGCGAGGGAGAAATAAAATCCTTTACAGACAAGCAAATGCTGAGAGATTTTGTCACCACCAGGCCGGCCTTACAAGAGCTCCTGAAGGAAGCACTAAACATGGTAAGGAAAAACCAATACCAGCCACTGCAAAAACATACCAAATTGTAAAGACCACTGACACTATGAAGAAATTGCACGAACTAACAGGCAAAATAACCAGCTAGCATCATAACGACAGGATCAAATTCACATATAATAACAAGGTTAACCTTAAATGTAAATGGACTAAATGCCCCAATTAAAAGACACAGACTGGTAAATTGGATAGAGTCAAGACCCATTGGTGTGCTGTATTCAGGAGACCCATCTCATGTGAAAAGACACACACAGGCTCAAAATAGAGGGATGGAGGAATATTTACCAAGCAAATGGAAAGCAAAAAAAAAGCAGGGGTTACAATCCTAGTCTCTGATAAAACAGACTTTAAATCAACAAAGATCAAAAAAGACAAAGAAGGGCATTACATAATGGTAAAAGAGATCAATGCAACAAGAAGAGCTAACTATACTAAATATATATGCACCCAATAAAGGAGCACCCAGATTCATAAAGCAAGTTCTTAGAGACCTACAAAGAGATGTACACTCCCACACAATAATAGCGGGGGACTTTAACAATCCACTGTCAATATTAGACGGATCAACAAGACAGAAAATTAACAAGATATTCAGGACTTGAACTCAGCTCTGGATAAGTGGACCTAATAGACATCTACACAACTCTCCAACCCAAATCAACGGAATATACCTTCTTCTCAGCACCACATTGCATTTATTCTAAAATTGACCACATAATTAGAACAACATTCCTCAGCAAATGCAAAAGAACAGAAAACATAACAAATGGTCTCTCAGACCATAGTGCAATCTAATTAGAACTCAGGATTAAGAAACTCACTCAAAACTGCACAACTACATGGAAACTGAACAACCTGCTCCTGAATGACTACTGAGTAAATAACAAAATTAAGGTAGAAATAAATAAGTTCTTAGAAACCAATGAGAACAAAGAGATAACATACCAAAGACTCTGGGACACAGCTAAAGCAGTGTTTAGAGGGAAATTTATAGCAGTAAATGGCCACAGGAGAAAGCAATAAAGGTCTGAAATCAACAACTTAACATCACAATTAAAAGAACTAGAGAAGCAAGAGCAAAAAAATTCAAAAGCTATAGGAAGACAAGAAGTAACTAAGATCAGAGCAGAACTGAAGGAGATAGACACAAAAAAACCCTTCAAAAAATCAATGAATCCAAAAGCTGGATTTCTTAAATGATTAACAAAATAGATAGACTGCTAGCCAGACTAACAAAGGAGAAAAGAGAGAAGAATCAAATAAACACAATAAAAAATGATAAAGGCAATATCACCACTGATCCCACAGAAATACAGACTACCATCAGAATGCTATAAATACCTCTATGCAAGTAACTAGAAAATCTAGAAGAAATGGGTAAATTGCTCGACACATACACCCTCCCAATATGAAGAAGTGGAATATTTGAATAGAACAATAACAAGTTCTGAAATTGAGGCAGTAATTAACGGCCTACCAACCAACAAAAGCGCAGGACCAAAGAGATTCACAGACGAATTCTAGCAGAGGTACAAAGAGGATCTGGTACCATTCCTTCTGAGACTATTCCAAACAACAGAAAAAGAGGGACTCCTCTCTAACTCATTTTATGAGACCAGGGTCATCCTGATACCAAAACCTGGCAGAGACATAACACAAAAAGGAAAATTTCAGGCCAACATCCCTGATGAACATCGATGCAAAAATCCTCAATAAAATACCAGCAAACCGAATCCAGCAGTACATCAAAAAGCTTATCTACCACAATCAAGTTGGTTTCATCCCTGGGATGCAAGGCTGGTTCAACATATGCAAATCAATAAACGTAATACATCACATAAACAGATCTGATGACAAAAACCACATGATTATCTCAACAGATGCTGAAAAGGCCTTCGATAAAATTTAACACCCCTTCACGCTAAAAACTTTCAATAAACTAGGTATTGATGGAACGTATCTCAAAATAATAAGAGCTATTTATAACAAACCCACAGCCAATATCATACTGAATGGGCAAAAGCTGGAAGCATTCCCTTGGAAAATCAGCACAAGAAAAGGATGACCTCTCTCACCACTCCCATTCAACACAGTACTGGAAGTTCTGGCCAGGGCAATCAGGCAAGAGAAAGAAATAAAGGGTATTCAAACAGGAAGAGAGGAAGTCAAATTGTCTCTGTTTGCAGATGACATGACTGTATATTTAGAAAACCTCATCATCTCAGCCCAAAATTCCCTTAAGCTGATAAGCAACTTCAGCAAAGTCTCAGGATACAAAATCAATGTGCAAAAATCACAAGCATTCTTACACATCAATAATAGACAGACAGAGCCAAATCATGAGTGAACTCCCATTCACAATTGCTACTAAGAGAATAAAATACCTAGGAATACAACTGACAAGAAATGTGAAGGACCTCTTCAAGGAGAACTACAAACCACTGCTCAAGGAAATAAGAGAGGACAGAAACAAATGGAAAAACATTCCATGCTCATGGATAGGAAGAATCAATGTCATGAAAATGGCTATAATGCCAAAAGTAGTTTATAGATTTAATGCTATCCCCATCAAGCTACCATTGACTTTCCTCACAGAATCAGAAAAAAACTACTTTAAACTTCATATGGAACCAAAAAAGAGCCTGTATAGCCAAGACAATCCTAAGCAAAAAGAACAAAGCTGGAGGCATCATGCTACCTGACTTCAAACTATACTACAAGGCTACAGTAACCAAAACAGCATGGTACTGGTACCAAAACAGAGATATAGACCAATGGAACAGAACAGAGGGCTCAAAAATAATGCCACACATCTACAACCATCTGATCTTTGACAAACCTGACAAAAACAAGCAATGGGGAAAGGACTCCCTATTTAATAAATGGTGTTGGGAAAACTGGCTAGCCATATGCAGAAAACTGAACCTGGACCCCTTCCTTACACCTTACACAAAAATTAACTCAACATGGATTAAAGACTTAAATGTAAGACCTAAAACCATAAAAACCCTAGAAGAAAACCTAGGCAATACCACTCAGGATATAGGCATGGGCAAAGACTTCACGACTAAAATACCAAAAGCAATGGCAACAAAAGCCAAACTAACAAACAGGATCTAATTAAACTGAAGAGCTTCTGCACAGCAAAAGAAACTATCATCAGAGTTAACAGGCAACCTACAGAATGGGAGAAAATTTTTGCAATCTATCTTTGCATCTGACAAAGGGCTAATATCCAGAATCTACAAAGAACTTAAACAAATTTACAAGAAAAAAACAAACAAGCCCATTAAAAAGTGGGCAAACGATATGAACAGACACTTCTCAAAAGAAGACATTTATGCAGCCAACCAACCTATGAAAAAAAGCTCATCATCACTGGTCATTAGAGAAAAGCAAATCAGTGCTCACTTTGACAGCACATGTACTAAAAAAAGAGAAATACAAATCAAAACCACAATGAAATTATCATCTCACACCAGTTAGAATGGCAGTCATTAAAAAGTCAGCAAACAACAGATGCTGGAGAGGATGTGAAGAAATAGGAATGCTATTACACTGTTGGTAGAGTATAAATTAGTTCAACCATTGTGGAAGACAGTGTGGTGATTCCTCAAGGATCTAGAACTAGAAATACCATTTGACCCAGCCATCCCATTACTGGGGATATACCCAAAGGATTATAAATCATTCTACTATAAAGACACATGCACACATATGTTTATCGCAGCACTATTCACAATAGCAAAGACTTGGAACCAACCCAAATGCTCATCAACGATAGACTGGATAAAGAAAATGTGGCACATATACACCATGGAATACTATGCAGCCATAAAAAGGATGAGTTCATGTCCTTTGCAGGGACATGGATGAAGCTGGAAACCATCATTCTCAGCAAACTAACACGGGAACAGAAAACCAAACACTGAATGTTCTCACTCATAAGTGGGAATTGAACAATGAGAACACATGGACACATGGAGGGGAACATCATACAGCAGGGTTTCTCGGGGGTGGGGGGCTAGGGGAGGGATAGGATTAGGAGAAATATCTAATGTAGATGATGGGTTGATGGGTGCAGCAAACCACCATGGCACATGTATATCTATGTAACAAACCTGCACGTTCTGCACATATATCCCAGAACTTAAAGTATAGTTTTAAAAAATAGAATGTGAGTAATGAAGAAGAAAAATATACATTCATATATAGAATGTGTAGACTTCTTAAACTTCTTATGCTGACAAGCCTTGATTAGTGATGCTAAAGATTATTTCTCACATAATGCAAATGACAGTTGGTAAAGCTGCTGTTATTACTGCTGGAGAAAAAAGAAGGAAATAAATTTCCTGAAACAGCTCTGTTTTAAAGGTATGGGGCTCACCAAAATTACTGGCAATTGTACTGAGACTGAAAGGAGCCAAATGTCAACTCATATATGCCAGAAGACAGATAAAGAAGTCAAGAAGTTTCAAATATAGTAGTAACCACCACTGTCTTAGTAACGCTTGGATTACAGACATAGTGAAAAATTTGGTAATCATCTTAATTGAAGCAGAAATTTGACCAAAAAATTAAAAATCTTCTCTTCCCCTCCCGCTGCCTTAATACTTTATTCACTAGAAAGTACCTGCAACTCTCTTCATCTCTTTTCCTGGGGAGTCAAGGCCAAGGTGACCATAGGTAAATTATTTAATCATATGGTGCCTCATTTTTAATAAAATAAATTAATTCATATAAAGGAAATATTGTGGATCCAGGTTTCCTTGTTCTCAATTCAAACCCATTATGATACTGTAGTAAAACTCTAACCACGTTTTTCACATGTAGGTCAGTTAATATAAAATATAAATAATAAATTGCTAGGTTGCAGAAAAAAAAGGAAACGCTATTTTCTGTAACTATTTTGTACAATAGTCACAACTTTTTACACTTAGCAAAAACAGGAGGTAACCTGTGTGATAAGTCTTAAGAGTTTCCAAAGTTTTTTCACATTAATTGACTCATTGTACCCTTACATCAGCTCTGTATCCCATTTTACAAATTAAAAACTATGGCTCAAACATGTTGAATGGTTTGTCCAAAAATAAATCACAGAAGTCATAAAAGACAGACTCAAGCTCAGATTTTAATATCATTATTTCTAATTTAGATTAGAGGGCCTGCCTCCCACCTACAATTTGAAGGCTTTTTTTTTTTTTTTTTTTTTTTGAGACGGAGTCTTGCTCTATCGCCCAGGCTGGAGTGCAGTGGCGCAATCTCAACTCACCGCAACCTCCACCTCCTGGGTTCAAGCAATTCTCCTGCCTCAGCCTCCACAGTAGCTGGGACTACAGGTGCATGCCACCACAACTGGATAATTTTTTGTATTTTTAGTAGAGATGTGGTTTCACCATTTTAGCCAGGAGAGTCTCTTGATCTCCTGACCTCGTGATCCGCCTGCCTTGGCCTCCCAAAGTGCTGGGATTGCAGGCGATTTGAAGGCTTTTATATATTCATTCTAGCCATGGCTCTTAAGTGGAGATTTCTGTACCAGTAATACGAATCTCTGGTTCCACCAAGGAACATCTGGTTCCTCTCCTTTAGGCCCTAGAGAGTTCCCACTTGCCAGCCCCATCAGCCTAGTCTTTGCCTCTCATTGGAGGCAGCAGCAGAAGGACCAATGGTAACAACCTTACTAGTAGTTGAGTGGCAAAGAGAAACAGATAAACAAGGGAATACAGTGCTAACTGCCCCCTCTTAAAATGGATTTGTGGCATATTTCATACCTCAAGGTCTTGATTTGCTTTTTAACATTTCATTCACTGAGAAAAATGACGGACATGCCTAATTTGATAGCAAGGCACAAAGAGTTCTTCAGTCCTAGAAACAATATTTGCTCAAATCCATGATAGTTTGGAGCTGGAAGAAACCTTTTAAAGACTGGGTTATATCCTTCATTTACTATATAAGAAAACAGCTTAGAAAGACTCAGTGATTTGTCTAAGGTTACTTTTCTTAAGTTTAATTTTTTTTGAAAAAAAATAAAAAAGGAGTAAATGTTTTTCAAATTTGTCTTTGACAACTTTTACATGGGGAAAACAAATGAAGATCTGCCCAAACTTTTTAGATGTATTATTTTAAGAGCTGCCATTTTTTTGTTTTTCAACATCCTGGCTGGAAGTGAATAAATCAGGGAAAAGGAACTTGTCATTCTGTTTAATAAAAAACAAATACAGAAGAGAAGTCTGCTTACCAAAATACATAATGTCCCATACTACAGCAGTATTCATGATATCAAGAAATTCAAGGAAAGGAAAATAATGGCAAATGATTGCCCAAACTTCCAGGAAGTTTTTTTCTTCCAGAGTTTACTGAAGAAAGTAGATAAAGACAAGATCACCTATGAAGTAAGATATTCCCAGAAAATTCTGTTTGCAAGTAAAAATTGTATTTGACTGTTCTAAAACGAAGGAAGAAATCAGACTTTATGAAGCACATTGGAAAGTCCCATCCTTCCCACCTATGCGTATCCTCATTAGTACAGATGAAATAACGAAAGCCGAGGTCTCACTGGTTATGATCCAAACTGCATGGTCTGGTTTCCACTAGGAAGTAAACTAAATTTCCTAATAAAATGTTTTTCTTTTCCCGTTGAACTGGGTGATTTCCTTGTAAATGATCAATACCATCTCAAAGAAGTATATTTACAGTTAAAGTGGCTAATGACTCATACTTTGTTTTTGAGAATGGTTCCTTTACCATCTTTTCATTGTCTCTCAACTTTCTATCATCTACTTTAAGAATTTCCAGTGCCTCACATCTTTATTAACAAAGTATTACAATCCAGGAATGAAAAGACATCAAAACTGACCAAGATCGAAGTTATAACTCCGTAGTAGCATACAAACAGGAAAGAGAAAACAAACTAGTAAGGCAGACTAACACAATAACCAATGAACTGAAACAGTTCTTCAAGCCAAGCTCTAATGTCAGAGAAGGTAAACCTAAAATTCACTTTATTTATTTCTATTCCTGGAATGAATTCCTACTCTAAGCAAGAATAACAGCAGCAATAAATCTAAAGTAAGACAAGAAATTTTAAGGAAGCCTACCTCTCTACCTTTTTTCTTCATAAGTGTGTGTTTTCTTCAACACACACAGTTAAATATCATAACATATACTTATAGATAAGCTCACTAATCAAAATATCTTACTAGACTGTTTAAAGACTACCTCTGGTGGCTTAGGTGGAACAGAGATACATTGCCTCCTCAAAAAGCCTACAATTGTCCCAAGTTTTTCTGCCAATATTTTTAATGTTCTTCGTTATTTTAACATACTTACTGTTTTATAAAACATACTTTGCAACTAATTTTGCAAGAATTTATCACAATTCAAATTTTGGACTTCTGTCCCTAGGAAAAAAAAAGTTCTAAATTTCTTAAAATATATATTATTTTGTTGCTTCTTTTGTACACTTAGTTTTTATAAAATTCCTTGCATTTTTATAACTTTCAGACACCAAGACAGAGAGAGAGAGAGAAAGAGAGGGAGGGGATTGTGCAATAGAATCCTGCCTCAGCCAACTCTCAGTAGTCTGTTGGCAGAAGGCCTGTGTGTGAACTATTTCCAAGACCTCGGTCTGAAAGGCAGCCAAAGGCTTCACAAAAGAACAGGCCCAAAATGGCTTATTACCTTTCACCTTTGACCTGTGGCCCAGCTACCTCATAGTTTACGAATTTGAAGTCTTATGAGAGAATTCTTTGCCAACCTGTTTACAAACAGCTGACTTATTCCACAGGAACGGTTTGGCAGGACATATCCAGGTCACCTGACCTTGGGTTGTCACAGAAACCATGAGCCTCAGATTCGTGGTTAAGTGAAAACTGCAACATTTTGGCTGAAATCAGTATTGGATTATGCAGCCATCATCAATCATTTAATTACTTTTATGTGTTCATGTCACCAAATTATTAATACAGAAAATGTGAAAGCAATCATACTAGAACCACAAATGGTATAAGTCATGGCTTCCACAGAAAAGAGAAAAAGCATAAATTTTTAAACTGAATATTACAAGTTAATCTCAACTATTACACTGTCCTAGATCCTGCTAAATTTATCAGTACACAACAAAAATCACACGATCTTTTAGTTATTCATGTGTTTTCAAAACTCTAGTGTTTGTCTTAGTCAGACGTTACCTTACATTAGGCTTTTACCTGAAAAAATTACTTGATTAAATCCATTATCTCCAGCATGTTTGAACTAATCCCTCAAGGCTGATGCTTTGATCATTTTGGTGATTCCTTTAAAATAATTAATTCTCACAAATTATTAATGAGTACAAATGTGGCCAGATTTTTTTTTAAACTGGGAAAATTGATTTTAAGAATGAATAAATTAGTGAGTGATCACATTTCAAAGGGTCATTTATTATTCAATGGATTTATTTTCACGAGTTATTTTCTGAATTTCCTAGCCGCACTCAAAACATAATTAAACTTACAAAAATGCTGTATGCACACAATTTATCAGGAATATCTACTCTCTGAAATAAGTACAGCACAAATGAGTTTTCTTAAGTCAAGAAAACTGTATCATTGTATTTACATATATATTCACCACTAAGGAAAATTAAATTAATTGCCTGGATACTTCACAGCAGGGCAGCCACTAGATAAATGGTAAATAATGGATTTTAATTTAGGAAAAGAGTTCTCTTTTTTAATCTAAGAATGATGATGATGATAGGTAACATTTATTGAATGTACTGGGCACTACTGCAAGCACTTTACATCGATTAGCTGATTTAATCTTCAAACCACTCTATGAGATAGATATTACTATCATTTTCATTTTACAGAAGAGGAAGGTAAGGCTTAAAGAGGTTAGGATATATCTCTAGTAAGAGAAAGGCTTAAAATTTGGCCTTAAGCAATGTCGTTTAACTTTACTGCCTCTCAAAACATAGCCTCTAGGCCAGGCGCAGTGGCTCACACCTGTAGTCCTAGCACTTTGGGAGGCCGAGGCAGGCAGATCACATGAGGCCAGTTCAAGTCCAGCCTGGCCAACATAGTGAAACTGTCTGAAATCCCAGCTACTTGGGAGGCTGAGGCACGAGAATCCCTTGAACCCAGGAGGCGGAGCTGTAGTGAGCCGACATTGTGCCACTGAACTCCAGCCTGGGGAACGAGCGAGTGTCACAACAACAACAAAATAACATAGCCTTTAGAAAACAAAGTATACAAGCATTCAAGTAAAATAACATGTTATTACTTAGAATTATAATATCAAATACAGCTTCATAAAGCACCCTCACAAAAATTATCTCATTTGAGTCTCACGATTACCCTGTGAGGTAATACTATCATTCCTATTTTACAGATGAAAAAAGTAAAGCTAAGAAAGATTTGACTTATCCAAGGTTACTTGGCTAGCAAATAATAAAGTGAAGATGCCAATACATGTGTTCTAATACCATACCTTATATTTTTCTTACTATAATGAGTCTTTTTATTTCACACTCAGATCTTTTCTAAGATGAAATATTATTCACTCAACAACAATTCAAATGAAGAACTCCAATAAGAATTAGATAAGAAATAACAAAATAAAGGCATCCTTAATTTAACATTAAACAAATTATCATGAAACAATTTAATGAAAATAAATCCCATTTTCCATACTTAAAATCATATGATTCCTAGTAGCAAGATTTTCATTTTCCTTACTTAGTGTCCATAAATACATTCTTAATTCAAATAATGAGAAAAAAGAGGTAGGAAGGCCTATACGGAAGGCCTATACCCAAAGGATTATCCTATGACCCTGCCAGGCAGAGAAGTAGATCATCCAGGAAACAAGTAAATTACGATCCAGCCGGTGTAAAAGCTATACCAAAAATCTGATTTAAAAACCTCTATTGGTCCACCTCCTATGAACATTTTTAAAGAGGTTCACCACCACCTACATTATTAGCAATATTAGGCTAGGCATATTACATCGAAGATCATTTCCAATGTGGGATGCTCCTAACTCTTGGTTCTCCATTGTCACTGTTTGTCCAAAAGCCAAAAACTATCTGTTTCAGAAAAACACAGATTTTAAAATAGGCATCTATAGGAATTAGATGGTATGCAATTTTAGGAAGCAACATATTTACCAAAAGACTAAATACAATATCTGCAAAGCAGAAAGTATGTTAAGGAAAGTTAACTCATGAGTTACTAGAGCAAGAGATTTTACAAAGCTATCCTTAAACAGAATGAGAGACTCAGACAAAAAAAAAAAATGGAAGGAATAAAGGTCGTACCTTTGCTCATCTGTGACAAAGCTCTCTCTTTGGTCATGTCTGTGGCATAACTACAGCCACTATAAAATAATAAGTTAAAAAATGTATTAGAGAAGGTAAAAAGAAAAAAATAAAAAACAATGTGAAAATAAATATTTGAGGAAAAAATTTAAGTATTTTAAAATAATAAATATAAAAAATTTAAAAGGGAAAATTAAAATAGAAACAGAAGTCCTTAGAGATTTCCTTCTACAATAAACGGAAAAATTTTAAACAATCAGCATATACATGACAACATGAAACTTTAAAACAGTGTTAACATGTTGATGTATACAACAGAATAAGTCTGTAAGAAGCAAGAAATAAAAAGATACTGAGAACACAACAAAAAAAGAAAACTATAGCCCAATATCCCTCATAAGCATAGACGCAAAAATTCTCAAAAAGACACAAGCAAACTAAATTCAACAGCACATTAAAAAGATCATTCATTCTGATCAGGTGGGATTCATCGTAGAGATGCAAAACAGTAAATGTGATATACCACATTAACAGAAAGACAGACAAAAACTATAAAATCTTTTCAATAGATGCAGAAAAGCATTTGACAAAATTCAACTTCTCTCCATGATAAAAACTCTCAACATATTAAATATACAAGACACTTAAACACAATAAAGGCCACATATGACAAACCTATGGCTAACATCATGCAAAAGATCAGGAAGAAGACAAGGATGCCTACTTTCACCACTTCTATTCAACATAATACTGAAAGTTCTAAGTAGAGCAATTAGACAAGAGAAAGAAATAAAAGACATGCAAACTGGAAAGGAGGAAGTAAAACTGTTTGCATATGACATGATCTTATATATAGAAAACCCTAAAGACTCCACCAAAAAAATTGTTAGAATAAATGAATTCAGTAAAGTTGCAGGATACAAAATCCACATACAAAAATCAGCATAATTTCTATATGCTAATAGTGAACTATGTGAAAAAAACATAGAAAACAATTCCATTTCCAATAGCTACCAAAAAGTAAGATACCTAGGAATAACCTTAACCAAGGAAGTGAAAGATCCCTACACTGCAAACTATAAAGCACTGATGAAAGAAATTGAAGAGGACACAAATAAATGGAAAGATATCCCATGTTCATAGACTGGAAGAATATTGTTAAAACTGTCATACTACCCAAAGTGATCTGCAGGTTTAATGCAATACCTGTCAAAATACCAATGACATTTTTCATGGAAATAGAAAAAAAAATCCTGAAATTCATACAGAATCACAAAAACTCCAAATAGCAAAAGCAATCCTTAGCATAAAGAACAAAGCTGGAAGCATCACACTATCTGACTTCAAAATATACTACAAAGCTATAATAACCAAAACAGCATGGTACTGGCATAAAAATAGATAAATAAATCAATGAAACAGATTAGAGAGCCAAGAAATAAATTTATGTACCTACAGCCAACTGATTTTCAACAAAGGCACAAAGAATAAACATTACAAAAAAGACAATGTCTTCAATAAATGATGATGAGAAAACTGAATATCCATATGTAGAAGAATGAGAATAGATATCTACCTCTCATTGATATGGTTTGGCTCTGTGTCCTCACCCAAATCTCATCTTGTAGCTCCCATAATTCCCACGTGTTGTGGAAGGGACCTGGTGGGAGATGATTGAATCATGGGAGTGGGTCTTTCCTGTGCTGTTCTCGAGATAGTGAGTGGGTCTCATGAGATCTGATGGTTTTAAAAATGGGAGTTTCTCTGCACAAGCTCTCTTTTTGCCTGCTGCCATCCAGGTAAGACATGACTTGCTCCTCCTTGCCTTTCGCTATGATTGTGAGGCCTCCGCAGCCATGTGGAACTGTAAGTCCAATAAACCTCTTTATTTCATCAATTGCCCAGTCTCAGGTATTTCTTTATCAACAGTGTGAAAATGGACTAATACACTCATCATGTACAAAAATCAGCTCAAAATGGATTAGACTTAACTATAAAATCCAAACCATGAAATTATTAGAAGAAAATATAGGGGAGATGCTTATGGCATTGGGCTGGACAGGAATTTTTTAAATAAGACCTTAAACATATAGGCAACAAAAGCAAAAATACACAAATGAGATTACATCAAACTAAGATGCTTTTACACAGCAAAGGAAACAATTAACAGAGTGAAGAAACAAATATTCTCCTATTCTCCTACAGAATAGGAGAAAATATTTGCATATTGTACCTCTGACAAGGGGTTAATATCCAGAATATATAAGGAACTTAACAACAACAAAAAACTCAATTTTAAAATGGGCAAAAGACCTTAATAGACATTTCTCAAAAGACAACATACAAATGGTCAATAGGTATATGAAAAAATGCTCAATATCACTAATCAGTAGGGAAATGCATATCAAAACCACTATGAGATACCACCTCACTTCAGTTAGAATGACTATTTTCAAAAAGACAAAAGAAAACTAGTATTGGCAAGGATGTGGAAGAAAAGAAACACACTGTTAACAGGATTGTAAATTAGTAGTCATTATAAAAAAGAGTATGGTGGTTCTTTAAAAATCTTAAAATAGAACTACCATATGATCCAGCAATCCCACTACTGGATATACAGCAGGTACTCCAATAACATTTCATTCAATGTCCTTCATTATAAGGCATATAAGAAAAAAAATTGATTCTCAGCTACGCCACTGTCTGTCTGGAATTTGCACATTTTACTCATGTCTGTGTGGGTTTTCTCTGGGTACTGCAGTTTCCCCACATATCTCAAAGATGTGCATGGTAGGTGAATTGGCATATATACATAGTCCAGCCTGAGTGAGTATGGGTGTGTGTGAGTGAGCCTTGCAATGGTATGGTGTCCTGTCTAGGGCTAGTTCCTTCCTTGTGCCCTGAGCTGCAGGGATGGACTCCAGCCACATACAACCCTGAACTGGCATAATGGGTTGGAAAATGAATGAATGAATGAATACAAATTATTTTAAATTAAAAAGTCATGGCTGGGCACAGTGGCTCACACCTATAATCCCAGCACTTTAGAAGGTTGAGGCAGGCAGATCCCTTGAGCTCAGGAGTTCAAGACCAGCCTGGACAATATAGTAAAACTCCATCTCTACTAAAAATACAAAAAATTAGCCATGCATGGTGGCATGGGCCTGTAGTCCCCCACTGCTCGGGAGGCTCAGATGGGAGGATCACCTGAACCCAGGAAGTTGAGGCTGCAGTGAGCCATAACTGCGCCACTGCACTCCAACCTGGGTGATGGGAGTGAGACTGTTTCAAAAATTAATAATTAAATAAATAAATATTCACAAAATATACAATAATCACACAAATGTACAACAACAAACAATGCTGCACGAAAGTGTTGAGCATGCCCACCATATTTGTGATTGTTTTTGAACCTAACAGTTGTAGGAAATACTTCTTATAATTTTTCTTTACAAACATTTATTCCTTGATTTAATGCATTGCCACTACAGCCACTGTCACTCACTGATTCACAAAAAGATGAGTAAATAATTATCTTGTTTTTATTAATCTTTCTTAAATATACATGTAATTCACATTTATTTCAATGTTTAGTATTAGAAATGTGGGTCTTTAGAAGTTTAGTGATGTTTTTATAATCAGAAATATACCATAGGAACTGCCCCTTGTTTCTATCAATTAGCCTTTGAAAAAATTGGTTTCGTTATACATCACTTCACTTAAAGTCAGTTTCCAAGAACTTATAGACAATGTTAAGGGAGGATTACTGTATATCCAAAGGAAAGCAAATCAGTATATCAAAAAGACATCTGGGCCAGGCGTAGTGGTTCATGCCTGTAATACCAACACTTTGGGAGGCCGAGGCAGGCGGATCACTTGAGGTCAGGAGTTCGAGACCAACCTGGCCAACATGGCGAAACCCATCTCTACAAAAAATAGAAAAATTAGGCAGAAGTGGTGGTGTGAGCCTGTAATCCCAGCTACTCAGGAGGCTGAGGTAGGAGAATCGCTTGAACCTGGGAGGTGGAGGTTGCAGTGAGCTGAGATTGCGCCTCTGCACTCCAGCCTGGGTGAAAGAGCAAGACTCCATATCAAAAAAATATATATACATTTTCACTCCCATGTTTATTCCAGCACTACTTAACAATAGCCAAGATAGGGAATCAACCTATGTATTCAACAACAGATGAATGGATAAAGACAATGTGGTATATATACATAATGGAATACTAATCGTCCATTAAAAAAATAAAATCCTGTCATTTGTGACAACATGGATGAACCTGGAGGACATCAAGTTAAGTGAAATAAGCCAGACACAGAAAGACAAATACCACATGATCTCACTCATATGCTGAATCTTCAAAAAAAATTATAGAGGCAGAGAGAACAGTGGTTACCAGAGACTGGAGAGGGATCAGGGGAAGGAGGGAATGGAGGATGGGAAGAGGTTGGTCAATGGGTGCAAAGTTACAATTAGACAAGGGGAAAAAATTCTTGTGTTCTATTACACAGTAAGGTAACTATGGTTAACATTAAGGTATTCTCTATTACAAACAGCAAGAAGAGAGGCCTTTGACTGTTCTCACCACAAAGAAATGATAAAGGTATGAGATGATGGATACACTAAGTAACCTGATTGGATGATTATACAACAAATATATCATATTGTACCCCATAAACATATATAATTATAATGTGTCAATTAAATTTTAATTTAACTAAATAAGAGACAGAAAGGAATAAAAAATAAAGCAGTGTCAGTGTCTCAAGATACTAAGACAACCTATGTGAATTAGCCCAAGATAAGCCTACCATGTACAACAAAAAAGCAAATCACTTGGCTCCTAGAATATGCCTCATGACCACAAGTGCAACTCAGGGATCTTGATTAACTCAATAAATTTCTATGTGATCAGTTTATTCTCAATGTTTTAAAATCATCACCAGTATCATTTCAAAAATTTTATACTACAGTTGTCACTGGTTTTATAAATATGCAAAAATGATGTTGTTTGGGGATCTGGGGATAAATGTGTCATGAAAAAGAAAATAGAGAATCACTAATGTTGAATACTCTCTTTGAATGGAAGGAATATGTCTGATGAGTGTCTGTCACCTGTTTAAAAAGAAAAAAAGTAAGATCTTTCAGAGTAGTCCTGAGATCTGTTCTCCAAAAAGATGTTTCTGGTTTCTGTTTCCTTTTCTTTCTTTGTATTTCAAGGGCTGTAGCTCACTCTGCTTGCAAAGCCCATCATTCTTTGCAGCTCTAGTATTTCACCCAATAGGCTCAAGGGGCTATTCTCATGGAATCTTATCTGCTTGCCAGCATCCATTTACTTTTCTGACATTCCAGCACTAAAAATTGCTTTGAAGCCTTCAGTGTTTCCTCTATAATGCAAATAGATAGAGGTAGTTTTAACATGATTTTTGACACTTAATTCAAAAGTGACCTGTTATGGTTTTAGTGGAGTTGTGCTAAAAATCTAAAACAGGAACATATCCTAGAAATGTGCAAGCCAAGATAAAGAAGAATTTTTCCCTTCAAAAAAAATTTAAAACACACACACAAAAAAACACACACAAGTGTACACTTTGCCACTGGAAAATACAATAAAATTGTGGTACAGCTGAAATTGAGAGACTCTGGGGGAGAAAAAGCATGGGAACACCAATACAAAAAAATGGTCACTCCGTTCTACTGTGCAAGTACATGAGTGCTTATGATGACACACATATTACTGGTTTGATAGAAGAAAATGACTTTTTACTTATAACAGTTTAAAAATTAATGCTTCAAAACACTTTCCAACGTTAGCCCTCACTTTTTCTTTTCTCCTGCCTCAGGTTTCCCTAACCACCTCTAAGTGTCACCTTCTACCTGCAGATTCTGTCCTACCCTTGTATTTGAGTTAATTTTGACTGAGGTAAGAAATACACAACTGCTTTAAAGCACACTTCATGTGTCTCTTACCATTTGGTCTTTCACCACATTGAGGTAGGAGGGGTAAATTGGAAGGAGGTGAGAATGGTAAATACAATCAATTGGTTTCCATGGTGTCTCCCAAGCTTCACTCCTCCCATGTGATAAGCAGGCCCACCATAAAGTTTCTGAGGCTTCCTTTGCCTCTCCTGTATTCCAGTCAGAATAAATGAGTTCTCACTATACTTTTTCCTCCTGGGAACAACAGTATGTTAAGCCATGGTCTTTCAGTCTCCCTCAATGGAAATCAATAACCCTAATCCTGATAGCTGTGGTCTTAAACCTAGTGGCTATGCCTCCTCCCTAAATGTATCAATGGACTTCTTCCTATATGACTGCTCTCTTAAATTGGAATCACCAACTCAGTTTCTTACTGCTTGGTTGGTATACCTGTGGGGACTTTGCAACTTTACCCTGGATCCCCTGAACAACAGTTTTTACTCAAAGTATAACTGGATATAATCGAAAATTTGAACATCAGCACCATTGTCCCTCAAACCTTCCACTACCCCTTTATTAGGACAGCAACCTTTCCACCTGTCCTGCTTGAGAAATGAAACCTATTGTCAGCCCTGGCCTCTCCATCCTGTATGAGCTACCCAACCAGACTGACTCAATAACAAGCAGGGCAGGAATCAAATAAGGAAAGCAAGACACTCACATTGGTGCAAATTTAAGGGGGTGTCAAAAAAAAACTCAGCAAACACATTAAATAATATTTTAATGCAATGTTTTAAACAATCAAAATTAATGTAAAAATCTACAATGAACAAGAGATCAAAATTTTAAATATTATTACTTATTTTTCTTTTTGCCTCAGGTTCCAATATGGCAAAGTACTTTTAGTGATTCTGTCTTTATTTAAAGTTTTGACATTTTATTCATTGTGCATTTTGTGTGAGGCAAATGCCTTGCGCATCTCACCTTAGTCCTGACCCTGCCAACAAGTACCAGGGTAAAACATACTAGATGAAAAATGTGACCTTGATAGTAATACTCATGAAGAACAAAAACTGGCTTAGAAAATTTTCTGTAATTGGAATGTAAAATTTGAAATAAATTACTTAGTATGAAATAAAACCTGTGAAAGTATGACAACTTATTAAGACCTAAAAATTTTTAAATTATAAACTATCTTCTTGAACTTCTATTTTCAGTAATGGAAGGTTAGGTTATTTGGACCTTGGCATTATTGATATTTGGGGCTATGTAATTTGTTTGTTGTTGGGGGTGGCCTGTGCATTATAGTAAGATCAACAGCATTGCCGGTCTCTCCCCACCAGATGACAGTAGTTCCCCCAACCCCAGTTCTAACAACTAAAACATCTCCAAACATTATCAAATGTCCCCTAGGGGAAAAAAATCATCCCCAGTTGAAAACCACTAGTTGAGGCCATTCCTCCTGCTAAAAACTGAAAATGCAGAATTTTTTTAAATGCAATCACTTAAAGCACTAAGCTGACAAGATAATGGGGAACTGTCATGCCAAATCCTGGGTGAAGTAAAAAACCCAAGTTTACCTTTCTGGTAAGAAGAATATCGAACACCTAAGCCAATTTGCCTTGAGGACATTTGCCTGTTGGCAAATTTAAGCTTCAATTCTGAAACATCAAAGGCAAGGGGTTTAGAAATCAAGGCTCAAGATCCCATGTAAGGTGGCACATAGACCAGAAAACTCTCTCTGCATTAAGTTAGACCTCAAAGGGCTATACCTAGAATGAAACCTGCCGTCCTCATTTCCCACCCACCCCAAGGACTTCCATGAAGGTTGTCTGGACACTAAGAGGAGCAGAGGAGGAAAGAAAAGAGAAATGGCAAAGGAGGGAAACATCTGTCTAAAAATCTTTGGCCACAGCCTGGCCCTCATTAGGATTTACTGACCAGGTTCTCATCACCTTGATTGATTGCGGAATTTCAAGCTAAGATTTTGGTTGAAATGATCCCAAGATCCTCGGCAAAAGCAAATGCAAATTATTCCTAAAAGTTATCTTCATTTAAGCCTCCAGGACTCTCCAAATAATTTTGCAAGGGCAGTAAGAAAGATAACCAAGCATACAAGGAAACAAAGCAACATGGGCAAAAACATGCATAATTACAGGACAACTGAAACAGACCTACTAAGACTTCAGATATTAGAATTATCAGACACAAATTATAAAACTACACTTGCGTATTTAAAAAATTAAATGGCATGATTGAAAATATCTCCAGGGATAGGAAACTACAAAAAAAATGGAAAAGTAATTTGAGAAAGAGTCAAATGAAATTTCTAGAAATGAAAACACAATGACTGAAATTTAAAACTCAATGTATTGCATTTGCAGCAGATCAGACCCAGAAAATGACAGAACTAGTGAACTGGAGGGCAGATAAGAAAAAAAAAATGACTCAGAGAGTAGCCTAGGAACCAGCATGCATGAAATGGTGAGAAAATCTAATATATGTTTACTCTTGAGTTCCAGAAGGACAGAAGAAAGAATATTTGTGGAAGCAAACTCATATTTTATCAATGGTAACTTACAAACTTTTTTAACATCTCTGAAATCAAGACACATCTCAAAACTGACAGTTTCTTATAATTACTGTTGGCCAGGCAGCAATCATAATGTATTTGTGCTATTCATGTTATCCTCACTTCAGCTGACTTATGTACATTATTGGTAGTAAATAAGTTGAGTTTAATTGTTGCTTAAAATGTCTTCCAATACTATGATTCAGCATTGAGAAGTTGTTGCGATATGTATTGCACTTCCAAAAAGTTTGTTAAAAGTGTATATACAAAGGCCCACAGTCTGACATTAGTGAAGAAAATACTTGTAATTGAAGTCATGGCCACAGTTCAATGGTCATTAGATTCCTGCAAAGCAAGAAAAGAGAAATGGGAAAGGAGGGACTAAGTACTTAACAGGACCTAAGAAATGAAAATATTTGAGACTCTAGCTCAAAAAATAAAATAAAATATTTTTATACAAAGTTAATTTAAAACTAAAGATAAGTGGGAACTCAGTAATTAAATGAACAAATATAGAACATGATTATATGAGGAACCATAGATCAGGAAATTAATAAAAGTGAAAACTAATTTTCACAATGAGCTCACAGGCAGCCAAGACAAAAAGGCAAATGGTGCATTACAGTCATTTGTCAAAAGTTGCATAATCATTAGAAGACAGAAACTTTCATTAACGCTAAATTATTATAAAAACTAGCATGGATTCTATTATGCCATAGAATATATAATTATATGGGTTGGCACATTATATAATTTAATCTTGGAGAAGAAACAGACATCTCAAAATAGTTGACTTTACACAGCCTGCTATTATTTTTGAGTCCCCAGGCAGCATACTCTGAAGAATTTCCAATAATCTTAATAAATTATATGAAATCCTAATCTTAAAGTCTTAATCTTAAATATAAAATTAGAGTAATTGTTAGTAATTTGTAATAGCCATGCAAAAAAATGAGTTATTCGGCCGGGTGCAGTGGCTCACGCCTGTAATCCCAGCACTTTGGGAGGCCGAGGTGGGCAGATCACAAAGTCAAGAGATCGAGACCATCCTGGCCAACATGATGCAACCCCATCTCTACTAAAAATACAAAAATTAGCTGGGCGTGGTGGTGCACCTGTAATCCCAGCTACTCAGGAGGCTGAGGTAGGAGAATCACTTGAACCCGGGAGGCGGATGTTGCGCTGAGCCGAGGTTGCGCCACTGCACTCCAGCCTGGTGACATAGCGAGATTCCATCTCAAAAAAAAAAAAAAAAAAAAAGAGTTATTCTGTAGGTACGTCTAATCTAATAACATCAATGATATCAGAAATTATAAGAATGACTACAAAGAGTTTGCACCTATGGGGGGCTTTTGATAAGAAAAAGTATACATGAAGAGATGGATTGGATATTAAAGACTTAGTAGGAGCAGTGTGAGGACAGTTTAGCAGGGCCAGAAGCAGGGAGGAACACTTAAGTCCCTATAGAGTTAAGATGGGTTACACCGTTTAATAACAAACATCCCATAATGTCCACGGCTTAGTACAACAAAAATTTATTTCTCACTTAATGCTATGTGCACAAAATTCATCAATGAGGGTTTATACTTCATATTCACTTAAGAACCAAGGCTGACAGAGGTTCTGCTATTTTGTGGATACACCATAAAGTACTGGTGACCTACCCCCAGTCCCCCACAATCCCATCACCCTACAAAGTGGCTAGAAAAATAGAGGAGTACTTGGTTATTTGACAAGCATTAAGTATCTCTGTAACTATTCCCAGCTATTAGTGTTTCTGTACCACAAAATGACTTAATGTTTTGGAAGAGTCACAAAATAGAAACATCCACTATCTCTAAGGCCAAATTCATTTTACTCTATGCTAAACTTCTATTAAGTAATAAAAGGCAGTAGGTGGGCATTAATCCACACTTTTGCCTCTTAGGCAAATTGCTCTTTTTCTCTTCCTTCTCTCACACTTTTACTGCTGTGCATTTCTTTAAACATTAGTCATTTTTTGGCCCAAGCCTGGATACACTGTAATACTTTCCTAGCACCTACTTAACCTACTCTTCTTTTGTTGTTAATTTCATTAATTTTGCCTTAACCTCAGTTGTTAAACATTTCATTCTACCCACATAATTCACATAATAATTCTCATACTACTTGGGAGACAAAGTCAGTCAAATAAATTCACTTGTCGTTACCAAAAGAGATCATAGGAAATTTCATCCACGGAAGTCTAGGAATCTCTTTACACAGACAAGAGGCTATCCCAAGGGATCCAGGAGCCTTGCTAAGAAGTTTTATATAGAGACAACCTGAGTGGGATAGGAAAAAATCATGGTCTTCAGATTCGGACAGACTGAGTTTGAGTTCCTGCTCCTTCACTTAGTGGTTGTATAACTGTGGGCAAGTTAATTAACCTCTCCGAACTTCAGTTTCCTCCTCTCTAAAATGAAACTATGAATACAGGAATCAGAGAGAAGGTTTGTAAGGTATCTAGCATATAAGAAGTCTTAACCGAAAGAATTATTATTACTACTGTACATGGACTGAGCAATAAACAGAAAGGCAATGTAAACTGACACAGAAGGAGAGGAGTTTCTACTTATAGATTAAATAAAGGGCATGGTGCTTCAAATACTCAATGAACTCAAATATCAAAATTTTCCAAAACTCTTCTCAAAAATTTCTAGAAAGCAATATCAAAGAAATATAAATTATTTAAAGAGAAGGTTGACTATTTTATACATTGCAATTATCATAAGATTTATGTAATAAAAATTTACATGAAGCAAGTCAGAGGGAAATGGTTTTTTCATTGGGTTAACAACCACATTTTGCCTCTTTCCTAGGCATCAACTCTAATCAGTAAACTACAAAAGAATAGGGTCCATAAGTGCTTTTGCATGTCATTTTTTTTCATTACTGGCACATACAGAGCATTCAATAAATATTTGTTAATGAACAAATGGATGCCAGCTATTATCTCTGGAATTGATCGTTTTCGTTTCAAGGAAGTTGCCTAATATATTCTTTGATGATAGTTTGACAGTTTGACACTAGCCATTTCTGTGACTTGTGACATAAATAATGGGGGATGGGGGAGAATGACCAACTGTGATGGTTAGTTTTATGGATCAATTTGGCTATGCTATAGTACTCACTTATTTAATCAAACACTAACCTAGATGTTACTGTGAAGTGTTGTGTAGATGTTGTTAATGTCTACAATTAGCTAACTTTAAGTAAAAGAGATTAACTTTTAATAATGTGAGTGGATCTTATCCCATGAGTTGAAGGCCTTAAGAGCAAAAACTGAGGGTCCTGGATGAGAAGAAATTCTGCCTTAAGACTGCAGCATCACCTGCTGTGTGAGTTTCCAGCCTGCCAGCCTGCCCTACAGATTTCAGACTTGCCAGTCCCCACAATTGTGTGAGCCAATTTCTTAAAATAAATCATATATGTGTGTGCGTGGGTGTGTGTATGTATATGCATATGCATATGTATATGCATATATATGTATTTTATTGGTTCCGTTCCTCTGGGGAACACTGACTGATACACCAACAAAAGTGTACATTATTTGAGGCTTTAAAGTACTAGGTAGACATCAAAAGTAGAATGTACTAAATGCTATTACATGTCGCTGTAGACCATTAGTTTTAACTAAAACAATGCCTTCTTTATGTTCTTCTTTGATATCAATATAAAATTACTGATTCCAGCCAACATCTATCACCATTAATGTCCATGTCCCTTGAATCTCTTTGCATAATAATGTATACATTTCTCAGAATCAAAACCAAATATCATTGAATCCAATTAAAAGGGGGATCTAAAAGAATTATTTTACATATTATCTATAATATCAACAGCAAGGAGGCCTAGAATAATACAAAATACACTTATGCTATTTTAGTGCTTATGTAATAAAAAGATATCATAATTCTGTACTCCATACCTATTAATCTGTAGTTCCAACTTTTAGCATATGCCTAAGCAAGAGAAATAAAGAACTAACCAAATCCAGGCCAAGGAAGGATTTAACCAGAAATATTCAAAAGGGCCATAAATATTAATATACCAGATACTATTTAAAACCTGTTTATATCACCAGAATAGAAAATGTCAGTGTTAACATACAAAACTAGAATAGGCATACCAATGTAATGTTGGTGATATGATGATATTGGTGTCAATGATATTGACAAATACAATATAAATTTATGTAATGTGAGACACTTGGACCATGTTACAAAAATGCAAATGTTATTGTCTTGCACATGTCAATCGGAAAAAGGGAGAGAGAATCAGTGTCAAGGGTTAAAATAAAAATCGTGGAACGTAAGGCTGGCAGATTTTATTTATACTGGACATCCTGACCACTTTACACACTTACTTAGAAAAGCAAAAACCAGAAATTCCTTCTTAAATATTTTCCTTCAGTTTTCCTGAAGGAAATCTCCAGATATTTCATTTCCTCTCTCAATGACTGTCCTATTACTAAATTGCTCAATGGGAGCAATTAAGCATCAAGTTGTACATCACAAATGGAAACAACCTAGCAATCTATTTAATCAATATAAACAATCAAGCTAATTCAATCAATTTATGTGGTCAAAAAAAAATATTTTCTGTCTCCTGCTTTCCCCTGCTCTTCTTTCATTCCCACATCTATGGTCTAGTCACAGCAACAAAAGCCCATTTTACCATATATCGTTTACCTCAGTATGTCTACAGAAGAACAACAATGCCTCTAGATTCCAAATGTCCAGCTATGTCAAAACGTAGAAAGTACAGAGTCAGACTGGAGAATGGCATTATTTTACAGCTCCAGTTCAGTTTATGGTTTTCTCACAAAACCTACTAAAGTTAAAAAAGACTTAAAGTTTTTTTCTATAATTAATAAACTGGGTCAGGCACGGTGGCTCACACCTGTAATTCCAGCACTTTGGGAGGCCAAGGTGGGTGGATCATTTGAGATCAGGAGTTCGAGACCAGCTTGGCCAACATGGTGAGACCCTGTCTCTACTAAAAATACAAAAAAAAAAAAATTGACTGGGTGTAGTGGCACATGCCTGTAATCCCAGCTACTTGGGAGGCTGAGATAGGAGAATCACTTGAACCCGGGAGGCAAAGGTTGCAGTGAATCAAGACCATGCCACCACACTCCAGCCTGGATGATAAGAGTGAGAATCTGCCTCAAGAAAAATAAATACATAAAAAATAAACAAGTAAATTGATGCTTTGTCTCTCCATTTCTAATTCCTTAATTTCAATTATACCAGGGTATAACATATGTTAAAAACATATTTGGAGGATTAATAGTCATAATTTTTAAATGAATGTAATAACTGATTATATATATAATTCATTGCCTAATCATGAATAAGACTTTAATCCCATAAAAGATGTTTAATAGCAATTTTAACTACTAAGCATAAAATTAATAGTGTTAGGGGATTGAAAATTAAATTTCAAGGTAGCCAAAGCATAAATTCAAGAACTTTAGATAATTTTAAAGAGAACAAAATACTAAGATAAAAAATTGCCATGTTTATACAACTATGTGTAACAACACATTGCTATTCTATACGTTCATATAAATTCAGAATATTACTCAGAAGGGATTTTTTATAAAATATATCCTTATAAAGACAATGAAATAGCAAGAAAACAATTTTTAGCTCTAATAGAATAAATCTTATTCACAAAGGAAAACAAAGAAAGTAAGGGGAAAGGCACTGAAACTCTGAGGTACTAATTACTCTGCTTTTACATGGGGGTAAGTAAAGCAGTACAATTCTATGGTCCTTATATACACAAAGCTTCCATTAACTTTTGATGAGTCTGCCTTCATGAGAAACACAGAATTACTTTCTCATATACAATTTTTTTAATTAGTAAGAGGATCTCATAATGACACACAGTTCAGGCCCTACATTCCCATGCATGAGAATTTTCAGTGAAGTGACTTCACTTTTACTAAGGGAATGACTGAATTTTGTGCAGGATTCTCAAGACTGAATTTTGTGCAGGATTCTCAAATTCTTAATATATCAATCACATTAAAGAGCGCCCATTTTCACATATACACCATGGAATACTATGCAGCCATAAAAAAGGATGGGTTCATGTCCTTTGCAGGGACATGGATGAAGCTGGAAACCATCATTCTCAGCAAACTAACACAGGAACAGAAAACCAAACACTGCATGCTCTTACTCATAAGTGGGAGCTGAACAATGAGAACACATGGACACAGGGAGGGGAACATCATACACCGGGGCCCTGTCGAGGGGTTGGGGGCAAGGGGAGGGATAGCATTAGGAGAAATACCTAATGTAAATGACTGGTTAATGGGTGCAGCAAACCACCATGGCATGTGTATACCTATGTAACAAACCTGCATGTTCTGCACATGTATCCCAGAACTTAAAGTATAATTAAAAAAAAAAAAGAGTGCCCATTTTATTTTCAATCACTTGGATAAATGGGATTAAAGAAAATACAGTTATACTAAAGGAATTTTCTACTACTCAGTTGCCAGTAGAGTTATGCATGAAGAATTCTTATTAAGTCAAAAGAGAGCAGAATATATTTGAAAGCAGAGTTGACCCCCTTCATTCGGTTTAACGAATGGAAATACTCAAGATTCAGGTCACTATGGGCCCTTTTCCCTACTCAAAAAGAGACCCTCCCTATTAATAACCATTAGAATGCTCCACATTTTTAAGTTTGCAACATCATGGCCTCATTGCAAATTGGGTATTTAGGGAAAACTACATTTCCTTCCAAGGAAAATGTTTTAAAAATGCACAATTTCTCTATCACGCATTTTTTAAATAAGAAGAAGAGAAAATCTAACTGTTTTGCAACTAGGCTCAGGCAACTGCCCAGGCAGCCTATAGAACTGATATCAACAGTTTTATGCCTGTCAGAAAATCATTCTAAAGACTTTTTTTAATCTGAAAAATAACATCATCACTGTGGATTCCACCCTGAAATCCGAAGGCAGGAATTACATTGTGTTGTTAAAATGTTAGCAAGTGCATTTCATTTTTTTAAAAGGCAATGTAGTTTTCCTGAAATAAAGAGCTGATTATATCTCTTATTACTGTTACAAGAATTTGATATATCACAAAGTGAAAGTTACAGCATGTGTCAACTATCAACCAGGAAAAATGAACCTGATTCATAATTCACTTTGATAATGTCTAGTTAGTTAATCAAGTGATTTGTAATCATGAAGGCTGCCAGAAATTGAATGAAGAATGGGACACAGTAAAATTCTTAGGTTTTTTTTTTTTTAGTATTCTTATTTCGTTATGTGACTTTTATTGCCATTTTTGATCACTGTTTCTCAGCAGCACAAATTAAATCACACATATTTACTTAGAAGTTTTTGACTACTAAATAGACTAAGGATACACAAGTTGAATGACCAGAGTATATAATGTCTTCCTACAAAATTAAAGGTTTTAGTGTTTACAGCTTGAACAGGAAAATTTCATTCCTTCCAATCTCCTCCTCTCTCTCCCCATTTTATTTGAATTATTTAGAAAATACGCCACTCATTCTAACTCAGTATATTTCTATATATTCTAAAACAAGTAAAATCATTTAACAGAACCTAGTTAATACCAGAAACCTTAAGCTTCCTTTTAGTATCTTCATTGTAATTCCTCAGTTAAAACTATATTATAATACAATAGTCAAAGAACATTTAACCTCTAATTAATAAAATCTCAGTAAATAGACAAAATATAAAATCAACTTATAGCCTGACATATTACTAAAGGGGTAATGTGATAAATGAGTGTTTTTCAAAGTGTAAACTACTGAGCCATGTAAGAATGTGCCATTCTGACAATATTGGCCATTATAAGCTTTTTCATCAGCACTGCATGACACAGAACTACACAGCTTTAAAGTAAATTGAACTTTAAATATGATAACAAATGGGCTCCTCCTTTGATTTACTCTTCATAATTTTCAAGCAGAAGGGTCCTTTTCCAACTTTAGACTGATTATAAGACAAGATCTCCTTAGGGAAAGTAATAGAGTTCTTAAGTTCCATTATACTCATTATTGAAATCTAATATTTATTTTTTAAATTCAGCTGTATAAACTTTGTGGGTAAATTTCCAATAATAAATGCTTGGTTTTTCAAAATAACAAAATTCCAGACACACATTATACATTGACTCCAAGAAACTAGTATAATTATGGTGAGACCTTGGGAAAGATACTGTTTTCCACACTGAATATTCCCTGAAAAGCGTAGCAGCACTCCACTTGGGAATTCACGTTATCACCATTATCAGACCAACTGCTAGAATCACCTTTTCTTTCCTATTTAGCTTATTCATTCATTCATTCCACAAATGCTCATTAAGCTCCTACTCTTGCCAGGTATTATGCTAGAAATTGGGGATATAAAGATGAATTTAAAACATAGTCTTTGTACTTGCCCTTAAGAAATCTACAGTCTAGTAAGAAGAAGACATAAGTAAATAAGAACAATGAAATACAGGCTCTAGAAGAGATCTATATCTTGGAAATGTCAGTGACAGAGGTCAGTAGAGGACTTCAAAGTGTTCACCAAGCTCAATCTTGAATGAAAGTTGGTACCTATCAGGGAGCAAAGAGGAAAGACTATAATGGTAAGAACGAGAATATGAATGAAGCCAAAAGTGCAAAATACCTTATCATGGTAGGATAAATACAAGCTAGTCAGTTTAACTGGGGTTTAACATGTAAGAAGTACATGTTACATGTTGGGTGGTAAGGGAAAAGGCTGCCAGAAGCCTCTTTCAAAAACATTTCATATTGATGGTTAGGCTAGTTATAATCAGGTGATGTCATGTACTTGTAGGATAAGGATCCTCTTCCTCATAACTAAAAGTAGTTTTGACTTCAGTGAGCATCAGTCCTACAAATTTTTGACCTTGGGATTTGTTTATACTGTAAAGAAGAAAAATTGAAAGATAATAACAATTACAAAAAAAAAAAAAAAGGACACGAGCAAAGCAAGACTGTAAAGAAAATTTACTTTGACAACCTGACAATGGTGATAACTCAAGTGAAAGCAACTAGAATAAAGAGGGCCAAAGCAACATAAGTGACTGTAGCAAGTTACTTACACATACACACACATATGTATATATACTTCATGATTATATAAGATTTGGTCAAATTATAAATGTAATTAGTACAGCAAAATGAAGTTATGATTATTAAATACTATCAAATTATATTGACCCTGAACTGCAGATAGCTATGTAGATATACTACTGACTCTTGTAGTAATATTAAATATATAGAAGTCAAGCACTATGTCTCTGGAATAGCAAACTTGCAACAAGCATTAACGATGGCCACCCATTGACTGACTAAATAACCTATTTGAAAATGGAAGAGAATCTTTCCTGAAATTTCCTGATATCAGTAATACACTTTTTTTTTTTTTTTTTTTTGGAGACACAGTCTTGCTCTGTCACCCAGGCCGGAGTGCAGTGGCGTGATCTCACCTCACTGCGACCCCTGCCTCCCAGATTCAAGCAATTCTCGTGCCTCAGCTTCCCAAGTGAAGTGTTTTTAGTACAGACAGGATTTCAACATGTTGGCCAGGCTGGTTTCGAACTTCTGGCCTCAAGTGATCTCGCCTTGGCCTCCCAAAGTGCTGGGATTACAGGCATAAGCTACCACACCTGGCCTAGTAATATATTTTTAAAATAAGTATACAACATATGTGATCAATATCACTCTTTTCTAATCAGTATGTATTCAAATAAGAGTCATGAATTACAAGTTAGCTGGCATGTGTTATAAGGAATGAGAATGGAGATGACAGAAGCTACTCAAACAAATTTTAAGTATATTCACAGATAACAAATTATAACTTCCTTTATTTTTCACTGTTGTGCTGATTTCTTTGTTGTCCTTTGGGTTCAAGTAATGAAGCATCATGGTTCAACATTCCAATAATGTCTCATAAAACAAAGTTTAAGACAAACTGTTGTTTGATAATGCTGCGAAGATAAAATAACATTAACATGATCCTTCATGTATTAAGATGACACTGACTCACCATCAATAGAGATGAGCTGCAAGTTGTTGTTCCATAGTTGACATAGGCTTCCTGATCTAGCCAATTCTATTGCCAAAGCTCCCCAGTGAATGGCAGCTTACATCTGTAAGATGATTATTACCAGTGGTCACAGAAAATAACAAAATAAAATGATCTATACAGAAATAAAACCTATGCCCTTGGTCCCAAACTACCATATTCTGATAAACTTTTAAAAAGTCACAGAAATGTATAAATACTGTATGATTCTTTCATTAAAAATGATATATGTAGTTACTCTGATCAATTCATTGTAGTCTATATATTACTTACCTAAATATGCAAATAATGAAAGCCTGACCCCCTGCCTCAGAATGTTCTCAGCTATCTTAACTAAAACGAAGATTGTTTCTGACTTGCAAAATCAGAAGTATATAATGATGATGCTCAAAACATGAAAGCATGCCAACTTTATATCCCTCATCACCAGTAGCAATAACTGAGGAAATTACAGAATATTGTTGTTAATGTTAGAAATATTCTCTATACCATTAAATGTAATATGACTACAGCCAAAATTACTTTGACATTTCCTAGAATTCTGAAAAACACTTCCATTTTTTATGAAGAAAAAATATTTTAGTTACTAGCTACAGTGTTCATTCTTGTTAATACCGAGGTTTTACAATAAAATAGTTCTACTGACTCCTGATATGGAATTTTATCAGTTTCTAGTTGAATCTCCTTCATAAAGCTGAGAAGCTGATAAAATATTACTGGAAGACATTGTTTGTAAGTAAAATTAATGTTACATGCTTATTTATTATTTAGAAGAATAAGAAATTAGATTAACAACTTAAAAATTAATAAGAAGCCATTAAAACTAGATATAAGTAAAACAAAATCACAATGTTAAGTGCCTATGATGAGCAAGGCACTATTTAGAGGTTCTGTGAACAAGTATAAAAATAACAAGGCATAGTACATAACCTCAAAGAAATCACAATTTAGATATTATTGAAACATTCTTCTTTCAGTGCTCCATAGTTGTTTACAAAAACAAACAGCTAGATTCTAACCCAGATCCTCTGTTAGCACAGGAAGGATGATGTGGAAAAGTACAACATCACCTACCACGGCATGGTAGCTACCATAAGGATGCAGCTCTGGGGCTCCTCTTGCATATGGAAATAAGGAAATTTTAATAGAAATATTGAGAACATCTGCTGCAACCTGTGATGCAGGCCCACTGCCACCTGCAAACAAATAAAATTCATTAATTTTAAGACACCATATAAACATTTCCAGTCACAATTCTGTTTTAATGGGTCATGCAGCAAGCATATTCTCTTTAACAGCTTTCCATTATCATCCCCCACCAACTCACCAAAATTGGATGTCTTCCACTAGATTGCAAACTCCTAAAGTTCCTCTTCATTTTGGTTTCCAATTTCTACAACGCCTAGCCGAACAAATAACTCAGTCTAGTAAGAAATTAAGGTTAAAACTGGCTACTATAATACTCTGTAACCAGTTCTATAATAAGTTTTATAGAAAGTACTACAGATACTAAAAGGAAGGAAAAACTGGCTTTAAAGAATGAGTTGCTGCTGGACAGAGAGACAAGTACAGAAAAAGCATTCTTAGTGGAAATAAGGTAAAAAGTTAGGGAGGTACAAAAGGGCACATAATATTCTGAGAATTTCAAGTAGCTTTTTGGGAAAGCAGCAAATAAGAAGACAAAGGCAGGAGAAAGATAACGGAGATGACTTATATGCTAAAAAGCTGAACCTGTATTCTGACTAAAGGAGTGAAGACAGGAAAGTGAAGTGATCATTAAAAAGATCTTGGCAGCAGTATGAAAGATGGGAGGAAGAACAAGACTGAAGGCAATGGACTAAATCACACAAGACAAAGCTGGCTTGACCTAATGGTATATGGAGTTATGGTGACCCAACTCATCACCAATGACCATTAGGTCTGTTACCCACTAAGTCTCAAATCCAGGTACATATTTAGACAATACTACAGACACTAATTTATTTTAGAAAACTGTTTATGTAATATAATCTCAATTAAAAAGTGGCAGGAATTTGACACAGGAATATCAACATGTGAAAATATTAATAATGAGTAGTAGCATTAGAGGTCATGTTTTTCTTCTTGTCATTGATATATTCCAAATGTTCTACATAATAAAATTAAAAATAAATTCTACAACAATTTCTCGAAGCTGTGATAGCTAAAACTTGCATTAACCCTAAAGAGCCTCACCCAGGATCCCTTGACAATATAACTGAGCCCAAAGCCTTCTTCACCACCACAGCTCACTATCCCTAAAGTATTTATTCCTACATCAGGACTTTATCCCATGTTCTTTCTGCTTCTGTAGCACTCTCTGGCCCCGAATGCCCATCTAAATCTCAACTTCATCGTACTACCAGTTACACTTATCTCAAACACGCATTACCTGCTCCATACATTTTTACATCCAATCATATTTAA
Organism: Homo sapiens; assembly: GCF_000001405.40. NCBI lineage: Eukaryota > Metazoa > Chordata > Mammalia > Primates > Hominidae > Homo > Homo sapiens. Next base: position 93,556,245 of record NC_000005.10, read on the forward strand.
TTTATTGAAAACCATCTTCAGGAGTTCTCCTGTTTGTTCTTCCTACAGTTTTTATATAAGAACAGACTAGTGCAAGTCAGTCCTATTCCAAAGCAAATGTTCATACATGACCCATTTATGGACATACGCACATATCATTATTCCAACGTTTTGATAAACAAACTTATGTATATAACCACTACTAAAGAGTTTTCGAATCTATCTTCAGAAAAGTTGCCTACTGCTATGGGTTGAATTGTTTCCCCCCAAAATATGTTATAGCCTTAACCTCCGACTCCTGTGAATGTGACCTTATTTGGAGACAGGATCTTTGCAAATAATCAAGACAAAATCATTAGGGTGGGCCCTAATCCAATGTGACTGGTATCCTTACAAAGAGGTAGATTTGGACACAGAGACAGACATGCACACAGGAAGAACACCATGTGAAGGCAGAGATCACAGTGATAGACTGTAAGCCACAAAATGTCAAAGATTGCCAGCAAACCACCAGAAGCTAGCAAAGAACCATGGAACAGATTCTCCCTCATACCCCTTAGAAAGAACCAACACCTTGATCTCAGACTTCTATCCTCCAGAACTGAGAGACAATAGATTTCTGTTGAGTCAGTCGCCCAGTTTGTGGTATTTTGTTATAGCCACCATAGCAAAATAACACAACTACTAAGGGAAACCATGATTTCTTTTGCTGAAAGTCACTAAAAACAAAAACATTTGTAAGATTACAAATCAAAAAAATATCTTGCTATTCATTTCTCACTCTGGTAGCAAATGTGCTATTTAATAGCTAAGCCAATCTAGTGCCAAAAACTTCTAAGAATAAACATGATTCATCCTTCATCCTATATAGTATCATTTATACAGACAGCATCACATAATCAAACATCAGAGAATGTAATCATTCTATAGATATTAGGATAAGAGAGTAAAATGAAGTTATATAAATTTTTCTTGGTAATGCGTAGAGCTGCTTCGTGAATTTTCATGCTGTGAAAATGTGATCTGACCCATAATACAACCAAAACATAGTATAATGAGTTACTTGATGAGCAATAATATTGGTATAGACCAGGAATGGGCTCTGAAGTAACACATACTTCAATTCAAATCCTTGCTCTGTCACTCACTAGTTACAGGCATATCTTGAAGATATTCCAAGTTTAATTCCAGATCACAGCAATAAAGCAAACATTGCACAAAGCAAGTCACACAAATTTTGTTTCCCAGTGCACATAAAAGTTATGTCTACACTATAATGAAGTCTATTAAATATGTAATTACATTATGTCTAAAAAACTATGTACACACCTTAATTTTAAAATACTTTATTGCTAAAAAAAAAAATGTGAATGATCATCTGAGCTTTCAGTGAGATGTAATCTTTTTGCTAGTGGAGAGTCTTGCCTTGAAGTTGATGACTGCTGACTGATCAAGGTGGTGATTGCCGAAGTTTGGGTAGCTGTGGCAATTTCTTAAAATAAGACAATAAAGTTTGCCCCATTGATTGATTCTTCCTTTAATGAAAGATTTCTCTGTGGCATGCAATGCTGTTTGATAGCATTTTTACCCACAGTAGAGCTTCTTTCAAAACTGGAGTCAATCCCTTCAAACCCTGCTGTTGCTTTATCAACTAAGTTTATATAATGTTCTAAATCTGTTATTACTTCAACAGTGTTCACAGCATCTTTACCAGGGTACATTCCATCTCAAGAAACCACTTTTTTTTCCTCATCCGTAAGAAACAACTCATCCATTCGAGTTTAATCATGTAATTGCAGCAATTCGGTCACATCTTCAGGCCCTACTTCTAATTATAGTTCTCCCTATTTCTACCACATCTGCAGTTACTTCCTCCTCCAAAGTCCTGAACCCCTCAAAGTCATCCATGAGTGTTGGAATCAACTTCTTCCAATATCTTGTCCATGTTGATATTCTGAGCTCCTCCCATGAATCACAAACGTTGTTAACGGCAGCTAGAAGGGTGAATCTTTGCTAGAAGACTTTCAATTGACTTTGCCCAGATGCATCAGAGGAATCACTACGTATGGCAGCTATAGCCTTATAAAATGTATTTCTTTTTTTTTTTTTTTTTCTGAGATGGAATCTTGCTCTATCGCCCAGGCTGGAGTGCAGTGGTGCAATCTCGGCTCACTGCAACCTCCACCCCCTGGGTTCAAGCAATTCTCCTGCCTCAGCCTCCCTAGTAACTGGGATTACAGGTGTGTGCCACCACGCCCAGCTAATTTTTTGTATTTTTAGTAGAGACAGGGTTTCACCATGTGGGCCAGGCTGGTCTCAAACTTCTGACCTCAGGTGATCCACCTGCCTCGGTCTCCCAAAGTGCTGGGATTACAGGCATGAGCCACTACTCTTAGACTCAAAATGTATTTCTTAATTAATAAAACTTGAAAGTTGAAATTACTCCTTGATCTATGGGCTATAGAACAGATGTTGTATTAGCAGACATGAAAACAATATTAATCTCCTTGTACATCTCCCTCAGAGCTCTTGGGTGACCAGGTACACTGTCAAGGAGCTGTAATAGTTTGAAAGGAATCTTTTTTCTAAGCAGCAAGTCTAAAACAGTGGGTTTAAAATATTCAATAAACTATGTGATGAACACATGTGCTGTCATCCTGACTTTGCTGTTCCGTTTAAAAAGCAAAGGCATGGAAGATTTAGCATAATTCTTAAAGGCCCTAGGATTTTTGGAATGGCAAATGAGCATTGGCTTCATCTTAAAGTCACCAGCTGGTTTAGCCTCTAACAAGAATCAGTCTGTCCTTTGAGGCTTTGAAATCAGGCATTGGACTTCTCTGCTCTAGCTATGAAAGTCCTAGATAGCATCTTCTTCCAATAGAAGGCCATTTCATCTACACTGAAAATATGTTGTTTGTTGTAACCACTTTTGTCAATGATCTTAGCTAGATCTTCTGGATAACTTGCTATTGCTTCTACAGCAACACTTGCTGTATACTTACTTATACTTTTATGTTCTGGAAACCACTTCTCTCCTTAAGCCTCATGAACCAACTTCTGCTAGCTTCAGTCATTTTCTGTGTAACTTCCTCAACCTTCACAGAATCGAAGAGAGTTAGGGCTTTGTTCTAGATTAGGCTTTCACCTAATATTGTGGCTGGTTTGATCTTCTACCCAGACCACTCACAATTTCTCTACAATAAGACTGTTTTGCTTTTTTGTTTGTGTTTTCCTTGGAATAACACTTTTAATTTCCTTCAAAAACTTCCTTTGCTTCCACAACTTGGATGTTTGACAAGAGGCCTAGCTTTTGGCCTGTGTTGGCTTTTGACATGCCTTCCTCACTAAGCTTAATCATTTCTAGCTTTTGACTTAAAGTAAAGGAGGTGTGACTCTTCCTTTCACTTGAACACTTGAAGCCCATTTTAGCGTTATTAACTGGCACAACACTTTCAATCTTATTGTGTCTCAGGGAATAGGGTGGCCCAAGGAGAGAAAGAGGAATGGCTGATCAGTGGAGCAGTCAGAATACACACATTTATCAATTAGCTTTGCTGTCTTCAACGGGCTCAATTTGTGGCACCTCAAAACAATTACATTACTAATATCGAAGATCACAGATCACCCTAACAGATACTGTAGTAATGAAAAAGTTTGAAATAGTGTGAGATTTACAAATTATGACACAGAGTCACTAAGTGACACATACTGTTGAAAAAATGGCACCAATAGACATACTCTATACAGGGTTGCCACAAACCTTCAATTTGTAAAAAACGTAGTATCTGTGAAGCACAATAAAATGAACCACAATAAAACAAAATATGCCTGTATATGACTTGAGCAAATTACTTAACCATGTTTGAGCTTCAAACTCTTCATCAATAAAATGGTAGTTTTACATTTTATAAAAACTGAAGAAATTAGATGATATATGAAATGTGCTTAACAGATATTAATAATAATAATAGGGCTTTACTATTTTTATTAAAAGGAATGTTTATAAATTAAGGATTTTTTTACACTTCTCTTGGGTAGGAAAAATAATTAAGCAAGCTCATGTAAGAACAAAAGTCTTGTTCACGTATACTGTACACAAAATATTGCCTTTGGCTAGTTCCTGACTATAAAATGTAGGACTTTCCGAATTTTAAAACTATTTGTCAAAACTCAAAACACATTCAAAACCTAATCTTGGAACTAAAATACAAACAGGATCTCAGTGACTTTTGGCTTTGTCGTTGACATTAGTTGGTATGCAGCTTTCAAAGCTCTACAATACCACTCCTTTATTCCCTCAAATTTGTAAGCTTTAGCCAGTCCAGAAAAACTACCTTTACAATTTAGAGTCATATGAATTTAACTCAAATAGGATGGTATAATCCACTGAACCTTCTACCAGGAACTAGTGATGTGTTTGTTTATCTCTTTTAAATATAAATCTTGTAAAATATACATCTCAAAAATCAGCTAATTGAAGAAAATACATATTTTGAATTCACATACTTCTTTTGAGAAATATTTAAATAATGCAAAACCTAACAAATCACCAAATTCAAAAGGACCTTGTTATATCATGCAAACAATCTACAAAAGATACAAATTATATTCCCATATGAATTTCAATACCTGTGAACTGAAATTTGCTCCTATATCTACATATAAAGAAGTAGAAGAAATTGCACAATTAAGTCCAGAAAGACTGCAATTATTATGGAAAGAATGGTGGTATTTTTGTTAACCTCTTTATCTAAAAGAGCTATCTGATGGCCGGGCATGGTGGCTCACGCCTGTAATCCCAGCACTTTGGGATACCGAGGCGGGCAGATCACCTGAGGTCGGGAGTTCGAGACCAGCCTAACCAACATGGAGAAACTCCATCTCTACTAAAAATACAAAATTAGCTGGGTGTGCTGGCACATGCCTGTAATCCCAGCTACTAGGGATGCTGAGGCAGGAGAATCACTTGAACCTCGGAGGCAGAGGTTGCGGTAAGCCGAGATCGCACAGGCAACAAGAACGAAACTCCATCTCCAAAAAAAAAATAAAAAAGCTATCTGCACTGGTCAAATTTGTTGGAAAATATATCAACAACCCACTTCTCCTTGTGCAAGAGATAACTATTCTTAGCATCTTTTTAAAAATTTTAGTGAGTTATAAAAATATGTTCAATGCTATAATAAGTTCAACAATATTAGCATCAGCATCAAAGCTAATGTATGGTCAAGACCAAACATAGGTATTTTTTTTTAATATTTATGAAAACAGGCCAGGCGCAGTGGCTCACACCTGTAATCCCAGCACTTTGGGAGGCCAAAGCGGGAGGTTCGCTTGAGCCCAGGAGTTCAAGACCAGTCCAGGCAACAAAGTGAGACCCCGTCTCTACAAAAAATTAAAAAATTAACTGGGCATAATGGCGCATGCCTGTGGTCCCAGCTCCATATGAGACTGAGGCGGAAGGATCACTTGAGCCCAAGAGGTCAAGGCTGCAGTGAGCTGTGTTGACACCACTGCACTCCAGCTCAGGCAACAGAGACCCTGTCTCAAAAAAAAAACAAAACAAATTTTATAATTATATTTATACACATACATATTTATGAAAACATGTTTTGCCTTTATTCTTAGTGTAGTTCCTAACTTTAAAACAGACTTTGTTAGCTGAGTTTTCGAAATATGAATGTGCTTTTTGCTCAATTAAACAACATAAAGGTCACTTTTCAGAAAACAATGTTATTTGCAAGGAGATAACTAAATTGACACATTTAATTTAAACAAAATATTTTGAAGTATTAAGAAAAACTCTAAGATTTTTTTTAAGTACTGATTTAAAGTTAGCAAACATGGCTGGGTGTTATAGCTCACACCTGTAATCCCAGCACTTTGGGAGGCCAAGGTGGGAGAATCGCTTCTGGCCAGGAGTATAAGGCCAGCCTGGGCAACATAATGAAACCCATCTCTACAAAAAAAAAAAAAAAAGAAAAGAAAAGAAAAGAAAAGAAAATAATAAGATAAAGTTAGCAAATGCCATATTCTATTTATTTAAGATACATACTAAATAATACTATAATTTAGGCTGTCCCCAAATTACAATTCCTATCTCCCAGGCTTCCTAGGCTGGAGTGCAGTGGCGCAATCTCAGCTCACTGCAGCCTTGACCTCCCCGGCTCAAGTGATCCTCCCACCTCAGCCTCCCAAGGAGATGGGTCCACAGGCACATGCCACCAAGCTGGGCTAATTATTGTATTCTTTTTGTAGAGATAGGGTTTCACCATGTTGCCCAGGCTAGTCTCGAACTCCTGAGCTCAAGCGATCCATCCACCTCAGCCTCCAAAAGTGCTGGGATTACAGGCGTGAGCCACCATACCCAGCCTCAATTCCAAGCATTTTTTCAAAAAGTGAACAGCAAGGAAAAATTAAATATATTTTCTTTTTATCTTAAAGTCCCAATATAGTAATATTAATAAAAATCACATGAATACATTATATTAAGAAAATATAATCCGTTAAATTATTAGCAAAAGACCATATCAATTATTATGGATAGTAATTGGGGCAGGGAGTATGCCTTTATCTACTCCACATGCCTTAAGCATGATAAAAACTCAATAAATATGTGTTGAATATCTATACTTCGAGAACAATAAGCACAATGGTCACATAATTCTCCTAAGAATCAAATACAGAAAAATCTTAAAGAACTGGGCATTCAAAACAGGACATGAACAAATTTTTACATCATGCAAATCTAACATTGGTAAGAGAAAATTCTACCCCTTGTATCCACGAATTGTAAGTCACAGCTACAAATTATGTACTGGCTGTGTCAATGGAAAATATATAGCCAATGCTGGTTTTGAAATAATCTCAACTTGGTCTAAAGTGAAGTCATTAAGAACTGAGTAGAAATGGTGTATATATTTAAGCCCCTATAATTCTGGGATTATATATGGGCAAGAAAGTAAATTTACCACATTCTGTGTTATTTTTGTTAACACCACACCACATCTCTATGGAGAGCTATAATAAATAAGAAAGTGAGGTAACATATATGAACTACACAATGACTATATATTCTTGTGTTTCACTAGGGTCTCTGGTTTTAGCATTGCTGGTTTAGTGGTTAAGTCTCAATATTCTTACCGCCATTCATCCTGGTTAATATTGTGGTCACGGAGAAAACAGGTTCATCATGGGCTAGTTTCATTTATCCACACCTTTTCTCTTGAGTTTCATCTACCTGCTGGAGAAACACAGGGAAATTTAATCAGTGTAAAAAATTCCTTATATTACAGATATTTGCTGGAATTTTCTATTAGACAAAGAGTTGCTTTTTGAAATATTCTCACACACACCCTAAAGAAGCTTTCCCAGACAGAAATGAAAGAAAGTATATTTAGTAAGTGTGAGCAAATAAAGCAATGCCTAAATAAAAGGTGTACTGAATACTGGTATCTCAATCACATTAGATCTCTCTTCCCCAACTTAATATACCACGGAAATTTTCCTATTAGAAGCTGACGAACATGTAAGATAATTTGACCTAAAATACAGACAAATAAATGTGTTACCTGGTCTGCTTATTAAAACACAACTACCAGGCCGGGTGCAGTGGCTCATGCCTGTAATCCCAGCACTTTGGGAAGCTGAGGTGGGCGGATCACGAGGTCAGGAGTTTGACACCAGCCTGGCTAAGACGGTGAAACCCCATCTCTACTAACAATACAAAAAATTAGCCTGGCGTAGTGGCTGGCGCCTGTAGTTCCAGCTACCCGGGAGGCTGAGAAAAGAGAAAGGCGTGAACCCAGGAGGTGGAGCTTACAATGAGTGGAGATCACGCCACTGTACTCCAGCCTGGGTGACAGAGCCAGACTCCGTCTCAAAAAAAAAAAAAAAAAAAAAAAAAAAAAAAAAAAAAAAAAAAAAAAAACACACAACTACCTGGAGAATACTTACAGCACAGACAAAGCTACTATTAGCAGCGTCACCCACCCTAAAGAAAATGGTTACTATTATAAGTTCCCAAGTATGCATTTGTAGAAGGAAGCAGTAGTTTATTAAACCAACTTTTTGATCTTGAAGCAACAGATTTGGGAAAAGATGGTTTTACAATAAAATATATAACTCCAACCTCCAGTTACATTGCTATTTTTTCATAGGACAGACATGGCACTGTGTGAATATTATGACTCAAGCTTAGTCATCTCAACTAAGAATGAATTAAATTCGTTAGAGTAAAAACCTGAAAGGGAAAGTACATGCATGTAATTCTAAGTTGCTATTTTTAGAATGGGGTTTTTCTCCAAAGAGATTTTAAAAATGTATTTCCACATTATTTGTGCTATTTTCACTTTAGTACTCTGGCATATTGGCTACTGAATAGAAACAAGAAACAAGCCCATTTTCCAACAGAAGGTCATTTATGATTTGAACATAGTATAAACTACATAAAAAAGGAAAAGTAATTTATTAAAGACCTGCTTGCTAAAACACTGAATTTCAGAGACATATACATGTAAAAAGACGCTTGTGTTTATGCCCATCCTATTTTCCTGGTATTTAAAGAGATCAAAAAATTAACTGTAGAGTAAGAAGCCTATTGAAAACCTCATTATATCTAAACTACTTTATTATATTTATTACATTATATCTAAATGACTTTCCAGGAAAGTCCAGAAAATACAGAAGAGCTTCACAGGTTCTGCAGGACACACAGTATTGTAACCCTATAAGCAGCTTCCAGGCTAATAGGGCTTCAGTGGTTTTTCCCTACAGAAAAGATAGTCCGAGAAAAAAATCTGTTTCTCTATTCTCTCTCCTCACTCCTTCTTAAGAATAATCAGAAAAAAAATGACAGGCAATGTGGAGTGAGGAAAAGACAACCTTAATGGAAGTCAGGAAAACTGAGTTTTATTCCCTGCCCTGTGACTTATTATATAGTCTTAGGCAAGTTACTTAGCCTTTCTTGGCCTCTGTCTTTTGTTTGTTTCATTTTGTTTCATATGGAACACAAGAAGCACTGAAAAAAATGTTTTAATTACACCTAGAAAGACAGCAGAGACCATAGAGGCCTACCCCCAACTTCACAGGTGAGGACACTAAAACAGAGAAACATGCCCAGTCATAGGTGATAAGATTAAAAGACTTCTAACAACAGTCACAGCTCCAACATTTAAAAAAGTATTTATTTAAAAAGTATTTATTTAAATTTATTTACATCAAATTTTTAGAACATGTAAAAAAAAGTAACTAAGTAGCAAAAAGGATAACTGCCAAATTTAGGATAATTATCTTTTCAAGAAGCCATAAAGAAATATATTCTGGAAGGCTTCAATTGTACTGTTAATATTTTATTTCTCGAACTGGGTTTGGGGTATATGGATGCTTATTTTTCTTCATATACCATTTTGTATGAAATACTTTCTAGTCTTTTTTTATGTAATCACCAAAACATCTTTAATCAAAAGGTAAAATAAATGAAAACACTTCTCTGGAACTTTAAAGGTCAATGAAAATAGTTGTGTATGGTTTCAAATATTCTCCTGCTGAGTTTAAAAGGTAAATATCACTGTGTCCCCCAACATAAGAAAAAAAAAGCGTAATGTGCTAAAATATATATATATATAACTATTTCTAATCTAACTTAGTAAAATATAAAAGTACTACACAAATAGCACAAAACACAAAATAAATTTTATTACTAATAGCATGATAAACCCATTTAAGACTATTGAGAGACATACTTAACAATCTGTACTTTAAATACATTCAAGAGTCACATCTAGTAGCCTAGTGTTTCATCGTCAGATTGGCTGGTTGTTTTTATTGAAACAAATAAGAACTGCAATAATTTACCTAAAGTAAGCAAAGGCCTATCTAAATATCTACATAGAACCTATGTGTAAAAACTAAGTGCCTCCAAAATATCTGAAATTTTCCAACAAGAAAGTACAGGTCATTCAGCAAAATATATTTACTGTATACTACCATAATAGCTATTTAATTGTTATCATTATGATGTAGATATATAATGGAAACAGATGTTCCTTTTTCCTTTCAGCAAAGCAAAGGGAAAGTATAAACTTGCTGATATTGCATAGACTACTACCATAGCACAATAGAGGAAAAAAGACATTAGCACATGACAATATTAGTTTTTACTACACAACTAATTGCATAAAAAGTATAACTTGAGATCATTAAATCAATATAATTTTCAGCACTACAGAAGAGAAACAAATAGATGTGTATAACCAGCCTATTTCACATCTGCAGTTGGGAAAATACTTCTGACAGATTAAATATATGCAAAACGCTACCACTGCTTTCAGAACACAAGAAAAAGAGTGTTGTTCTGTTTTCTTTGCTCATGTAACATGAATTAGAATGCTGCCTCTACAGAGGAATTTTTTTTAAGTACCAGTATAAATTGGTAGAACCTTTCTGGAAAACAATTGGGCAATCAATATCAAGAACCTTAAAAAACAGTCTATATTCTCAGTCTAAGTAATTTCTCTTTTAATAACATATTGTAAGGAAATAACCATAGGGATGGCTAAAGATTTATTTAAAATGCTATTCATTACAACTTAGTTTATACAAATGAAAATTAAACATCTGAGTTGTCTAATAGAGCAATAATTAAAGTAGATATGTTAAAACATTATAGAGTCAATATAAATGACTTTAATAATTTTAATCATATTACATTAAATGCTTAGAAGAATAAAGTTTAGAGAAAACCTTATTATACAAAATGGCATTTCTAATTTTTGTAAATTCTGTCTTATGGGCATATACTACTTTTATCAGAAAAAGTTATTTTTTCTTTAAACAGTTCTATTTCTATCATCTGATATTCTCAGTCCAAAGTTTCTAAAATTCTTTGGGCAAAAGAGTCCTATAAATATTTACAGGTAAATTGACTTAAAGTTATGTTGATATGTTATTTGATCCTGAAATCTGGCACAGAAAAAGAAGTATTTGTCAATCACATAGACAACACCTTTTTTTTTCCTGGGTTAAACGGAATCCTTACAAATTAGGGAAAATTTTTATGGAACAAACATTACAAATGCTTCCTTAAGATCTATTAATATGATATGTAGTATGTTGCTAATTCAAGGAAATTTTCAATTACAAATATTTGTAAAGCAAATGAAGTAGCCTATTGATTGCTGTTTCAGTATGCCAGTAAAAAAGTTTGCCATAGCTTTCCTAGGACTCTTAGTTTCCTGATTTTATTTTTACAAGAAGAAGCTGATTTGTCTTAGGCTATTACTGTCTATTACTTGTAGAAGTCTTGAGCAAAGGTGGGAAGCAGCAAATTCTGGCAATCTGCCTAAAGAGAAATCAATGAAACAAATTAATCCTTTGCAGGCTGCAATGACACAGTAATCCATCATTCAGAGCTGTTTTTATATACCAAATCAGAGAGCAGAGGAAAAGAGCCCTGGGGGATATCACAGGCAACAACTTACACCAACACTGAGAAAATACTGAGGAATCAGTTTATTTAAAGAGGATAGATTTCAGTTGATTGCCTATTTCGTCAAATAAAGATTTTTCTTCCACAGTGTGGTGAACCCAAGGGCCAGTGACTGTATCTTCAGAATTCAGTACCATCTATGCTGGCTGACACCAATAGGAGATGAACGTTTTTAAATAATTAGCATCATTAATCAGTATGGTCAAATATCTGGGTAAAATAAATATTACTTTGTCCATCCAACTACAAAGTGTTATACATGGTCCTTGTTTTCACCAGAAACTAAGTGTAAATTTACCTACTAATCTACAACTTAACTGACTAATTCCTGGTACACCATATTTGAGGTACTTCTTCACACATAAAATGTAACCATTTAAGATATATGTTACTTCCTAATGCTGTGTTAAGTTTAAAGACTTAAAATTTTTAATTCAAGCTCTTGTGTAAATTCCAGCAAGCAAGTCAGATTATAAATAAATGACTTATTTTAAAATGATAAATAATAATTTTGCTCATAATGTAGTTGACAGTGTTGGAAGATAAATGTGGTTTTCTTTTACAAATAAACATAATAAATGTACAGCAGTATATTCAAACTAAGTATATTTATTTATACTTTTACAAAAGCCTATGTATTTAAATTTATTTGTGCTTCTGTAGAAAGTTATGCACCTTACTATGTCTTACTAGAGTAATGCATTCTAAGTAGAAGTATATTTCCTTGATGAAAACTAATGGCAAGAACTACAAAGTCACAGTGCATTACTACTCTAAATGCATGCATCATATTCATGGTTAAATGTGAGAAGTCAGTAAAAGAAAAGAATTTTCAAGATTATAAACCAAAGAAAACTTGACACGAGTCCCTGAAATGGTAAAACCCCAGAATACCTAGTCACAAATCCAAAACAGAAAAAGATTAAATAAATGCTAACTACTCAATTTTTGAGTGGCATGTTCGAGTCTGAGGTCCGTGGCCATATGATCACAATTCCTGGCTATGCTGATGCATTTTTAATTCAATGCATGGATCTAGTATTTATTGATTTAATAAGGTTAGAAGAATTACATTGTTGCTGCTACTGATGAACTGTCAGCAATTTAATCCAGTGAAATCTTACACAGAAATGTTTATTTTAGGGGAGAACGAGAGGAACAACAGCCATGTAAATAAATTTAATTCCTTTACTACCCTTGACAGTGACAAGAGCAAAACCCTTCTTTTCTAGACTGCTTTGGGCCCCAAACATTTTCTTTGATTAAAGATGTACCAGCTGATTGAGCTTATGGTGAAAAAGTTGCAGGATAGCCTTGTAGGTACACCTTAAAAATTAGGAAAAGCAATGACTTTCTCCCAGTATCCACTCTAGTCTCTCCTCATAGGTTTGAGGTACACACGCACCCACACACCTCAACCCTTACCTTGTCACCTAACAAGGTTTCAACGAGCCTGTCAGCGATTTCCTCTCTCTGGACCCTAAAATTTCCCACAGCATCATTAGTACACAGGAAGACAGAAGAGAAGGGAGAAAATAGAAAATTAACCTTCTTAAAAGCAATTCGGCCAAGAGAGGCTTTAAGGGCTATGTCAAAGTAAGGAGGTATTACAAGATCCAGAATCAGAAAGCGGGTTTAAAAAAATCCACAAAAGTTGCTGAAACAAACACTTGGGGACTATTAGAAAGCTTTTTGCACTGCTGCACTACCCTGCTCCTGGGCTTATCTCCCCAACCTGGACACCTGGGAAGCATGCTGTGCTTCAGCGTTTCCCTGACTTTGAAGAAATGGAGCGCTGGTGGTGCTGCTGCGGAGGTCAGTAAAACTATGCTAATTGGTGAACCTAATTGCTTCAAGCAGTCCTGCCTCTAAACATGGAGAGAGTACAGTTGATGGAGTCAGTCTGTTCCTGATAAAATGAAGAACCACTGAATTAAATTCCCAAGGAAGGCACTATAAAAGTTTCCACAGTGTAACCAAATGACTTCACCTATGTTATTACCTCTAAGATGACATCTTTGAAAGAAAGCAGACCCCAGTCGGGCTCCATATTCATAAATTGGCTGAGCTTAGGCCAGTGAATCTGGATTTATTTAAAAAGGTTTTTTCATCTTTCCAATCAAATGAAGTCATTTTTAATTAGATGCTTTCTGTTAACAATGTCACTCTTCTCCACATTACCTGCTCACACTTGCAGCGCCTCTAGTGCAACATCTGGAGCACGAGTCCTCTGCAAGCAGTCCTCCCAACAGATTGGCTGGAGGATGGTAGTATTTCCGTTTCTCAGTCCCTGTCTGAAGGAAGATCCCATTCAGCGGGCTGATGGCGCGGGACATATCAACTCTCTAAACTGAGAGATTACAAAACAATCTCTAGAAAAACTCTTAAGATAACAGTCTCCCAATATCCTTTTTATGAACTACATAGCACTTTCTCCGCTGTTCCCGCCTTGCAGATGGGTGTTTTAAAAAGTGCCAAGGGCCACAAAAGGAAACTCCCACTGACTCTACAGCTTTTTGAAACCCAGTTCCTCCTTAAAACAGAAAATCAGGTGTGAGGGTCCCCAACTGTGCCCCAGGCCTTGCTTCCTACCCCTACCAGCAGCCCACCACCTGAAGAGGACTGGCTGTCCAAGGCAGGGCAAATCGTTAGGCACCCCAGGAGGATGGCAAGGTTCAGCGCTTTAGCCAGCGGCGGGGGAGGAAAGAGGCTAAATGGGGAAGTTGTAAAAGCGGCTTCGTTCGACGGTGGATCTCTGAACCTTAAAAGATTGGCGGGGACCCACTCACACTCCCTGGGGACCATTACTAAGAGGTCTGCTGTGCCGACCCGAGGGGGCGCCAACTGCCCGCGCGGAACCGGGCCGTGGGCCTGGGGTTCGGGAAGCGTGCGCCACCCCCGGTCGGGCCTGGCTTCCTTCTTGAATGCCCCCGGCGCAGGCCCGGTGCTTTGTCCCTCCGGCCTTCTCAAGGAGTGGTGGCCTTCTGCGGGGGCGAGAGCACGGCCTCTAGCCTTCCGCCGACGTCTCAGTGCGCAGATACCGCGGCCCGGGCCCCTCCGCCGCGCGGGGGACCGCACTAGCGTCGACCTCCCGGCAGCCAACCCCGCGCGCAAGGCTCCGCGGCCGGATATGGGCCTAGCTTCCGGGATCCGCTCCCTGCGGGGCCGCGCTTAGGGTCGGAGTTCGCTAGTCCAGGGAAAGGGGTGGGAGGGGCCCTCGGAGGGGCCCCTACAAGGGATCCCAGTCCGCAGAATTAAAAATTCGTTCGCAAGGGAGCGCCCTTCCGGGGTCAGGGTCGTGAAGAGACACTCGAGAATTAGGGTCCTGGACTGCAGTGGGGCCGGGCCTGGACTTCGGGCAGGTGTTTCCTGGCCGCCCTGGGGCCCTGCAGCACCGAGGGCCGCGCTGATCTCAGGGCTCAGGCGGACGAGGGGCCGCCACAGGCACCTTAGGACCCTGGCGGCCTGAAGGCCTGGGGCCTTCAGGAAAGCCTCGGGCACTCCCAGCGGGGGACCTAGCGCCAGGTCACGATTCCATTCGGGGCGGGGAGCTTCTAAGCAGGAGTTGCTGACCAAGGAAAGAGTCTGGACCCGGGACCTCATCCCTGAGGACCAGACCACGACCTTGGAGCTCAGCTCTCAGTCCTTCCCGGCTAGGGATGCGGAGGGGTCGGGAGCTCGACGGCTAAGCGGCAGGGAATCCTGAGTTCCTAGAGATCTACAGAAAGCAGAAGAACGACACTAGATGAGACTAGACAGTGACGGCGGAAGGACGGAACCACATGGAGACTGACACACTTTGCGAGTTGGGACTCAATTGCATTTCTTTAAGTCCTTGATTCCGAAGTTTCCCCGCCCTCCTATGCAAGAGCGTTTGGGGAAACTAAGTTCCTTAGACTCTTTCATCCTTGTTATGTGAGCTCAGGGAGGAAGGCAGACAATAGCTGCAGCCTAAACACCTGCTATCTCTCAATGCAATAAGATATAGACGGTGATTGGAGTCGTTTCTCTTTTTGCTTCCAGAGGGAGCTCAAACCTGAAGCATCAAGGTTATCTTTTTCCAAAGGTAAAACAAGAGACTTGCAAAACCTGCTAGGGACACCACAGCTCACATCTGGAGGGGGTTCCCCTTTGCAAACGGAAAAGGCAATATGATTTTTTTTTTCATTTTAGGATTTGTGTGAACCTAAGTTCGGTACCTGCGACGAGTAAAAACACTTATTTGACCCTCTAGAGACTCAGCTAGAACTGACTGAGCAAAGGGAAATCGGGCAAAAGAAAGGGAAGGTACTGAGGAGAAAACGGTAAGCGGAGGTCTGGGGTGGGATAGTGCGCAGGGGTTCCTCTGACCGGGCGGCGGGACCCAGCTGCCGCGCAGGTAAATCCCAATACGCCTGGCACTGGGGTTCTGGACAGACTTGGTCTAAATACAGCCACGTGCTCGGGGCTGCTGTGCTCCAGCTGTGCGTTTCGGAGCGGTTTGCGCGCACGCGCACGTACACACACTCACACGGGCGCGTGCCTCTGTCCTGGCGCTGGGGCCTGAGGTTGTCCAAGCAGCGGAACCCCCCTGTTCCCGCCGGCCACTTGATGATGTCGCTCAAACTAGATACGGGGTCTCTCTAGTCAAGGAGGGCGGGCAGACAGAGGCGCCCGGCTTGTGGGTATCCAGCCCCACGTAGGGGAAGGGCTCATAGAGGGGCAGAGCCCAGGGAGAAGCGACATGCCCCCGGCTCCGTGCTCCTCTTCGCCTATCGGCCGGGTCACCTGTCAGCCGGTGCTCTCTCGGCTGGCTCCCCGTCCCTCCTCGCTCCCCGCAGCCACGCAACAACGCGCTGTCAGCCCGAGCTGGGCGCCTTGGCCTCTTTCTGGTGCCCCAGCCCTGCGAGCCAGGGCTCACCCCACACTGACGCTTCCAGGTACAAACACCACCAGCGCCGTTATTCCAGACTCCAGATCCCTGCCTTTTCCCCCCACCGAGCAAAGACAGGCCGGTGTTTGGGGGTGGTTGTTGTTCTTTTAAAAGTATATTAAAGGATCATTGGCGTCTCCCTGTCAAGTCATTACGCCTTTATCCCCATCAATTAACCACACCTCAGAGGGCTGCTATTAAGAGCTCAAATGAGCTGCAAAAGTAGGTATCCCGTTTCAGGCAGATGTTGTTATCTCCCGCTGAGAGGCGCGGCCGGCGGGGCCGGATCCTCCGCTTCCCGCGACTGCCGGAGTCGCGCTGGACTAGGCTGACCGCGCAGGGCGGCGAGGCTGGAAGGGAGGTCTCCGCCCGACAATGCGCAGGTGCCAGAGGAGCCAGGAGGAGTGAGAAGCGCCCTAGACCCGCGGCCTCAAGCGCCATGCACGTCAAGGGGAAGTGACTCCGGAGTTGTGCCAGGAAGAACACCAAGAACGAGCTGTGCGTTTTTGCGCAGAGAAGTAGTCTTCGCAAGACCGCAGCTCCCTGCCGAAGGCCCAGAAAGGGAGTGCGGGGGAGAGGGCAAACTAGTGAGTTTGGCTGGCAGTGCTCCCCCGACACACCCCACTTTCTTTTCCTGCCACTCCAGACTCCTTCCCGGCAGCGGGCCTCCAGAACCCCTTGTTGGTAAAGGCGAGGTGCTGTGGGGATGCAGGATATGGAATTAGGGAATTCGGGACGGAAACGTAGCGTTTAGGACAAAGGGGATTCACTGGGGACTTCCGCGGCCTTTGCCCAGATGCGCCTTTCCACCCTTTCTCACTCCAGTCACTCCCGAGGACTTGGGGCACGACTATCACACGCAACTGGGAGATCCTGGAAGACGGAGGAAAAACGAACAAGGGGACATGGCCCTCACTGCAGTGACAGGGCTTTCCTTCAGTCAGTGGCCACAATAAATTTAACCAAGGCTAAAGGAGATTAATTTCCCAGCATAATCCAATTAAAAGATTTCTAAAGTAATCTTTTGCGAAAATGAAAAGTGCGCGACTAAAGAGGGGACTGGTTTTGATGACAGTGATTTATCGCCTCAGCACAGCACGCACGGGACGCTGTCTCTCCAAGCGATTTGACCAGAGCATCCCGTCCTCGCCTCCTGTCCAAACCTTCCTCTTCCTGAAAGACAGCCATCTATCACGCCAACCTGGGCAGGAGAGAATGTGCAAGGGGCTGGGGCGGCTTACAAGCACCACAGACCTTTTTAAGTGCTATTAGATTTATGGTCTCTTTTTCGACACCCATCCAGAGTAATTAGCACATATGTTCTAAATAGATGATAGTTTTGTGAGCAATAAAGCAATTACCCATCGTTGGAGCTGACAGTTCCTCCAACTAAACTCCAACCAGCAGCTAATTGGAAAAGTCATTTCAGCTCCATTGTCTGCAATTAGTCCTGCTAAACTACTACACCCCAACTAGCTGGTTTGAGTTTAATTTATTCAATGTTGTGTTTGCATGGACAAGCCTTTGCCACGAAGGGACTTGCCTTTTGCCCCTCTAGACTGCGCCCAGGGACTAGAAGAGCAAGTGGGAGTGAGCAGCCGATATCTGGGGGCTGGGATGGCCCCCGGGGGAGGAGGCACCCGACTGGGCCTCAGCTTCAAGGTTAGTTGTCCAGCGGCTGAAAGCCTGCAGAGAAAACCATTGTTTCTCCTGCTAGACAGTAACCGGAGAAAACTGCTCAGTTCATGCTACCAAAACCTTTATTTAAAAAATTAGAAATTGTCACCACAGAGAAAGCGACTGGGTTCTCAACTCACCCCTTGTTCACACATCCAGTCATGACCCTGGGCCACCACATCATCCCTAAGGAATAAACATAGAGTCAGACCGCCAAAACAGAAAAGTTCTGAGCCCTGGGGGAGTGGGGGACAGGTTTCAACTCTGGGAGTGATTCGTGGAAAGAAAAGAAAAGAAAGGTCAGGAAGCCCAGCCTCTGCCTTAGCCACTCTGAGTTTAAAGCCACTTTCCCCTTAAAAGTGGGGTTTCTCTGTGACTTTGTTTGATTTTTTTCCCCTTCCTTTCTTATATTTTTTTTCTTCCTTTCTTTCTAAAAGTTAAGCCCAACAGGTCCAGGATTTGTGCACAGTGAGTGGAAAAAATGTGTTAAACGTCGGTTTGACGCCCCACCGGAGCTTCCAAATATCCAGCGGCTGGGATTCTTCTACTTAATTTAATCTTTATTGGACAGGGCGGCTCCTATGCTCCTATTCACTAGGAAACCCGGGGAAACATATCCGTTGGGGTTCAGAATTGAGGGTGGGAAGGAGAGGAGTTAAAGAGGGATTAATCCTCCCCCACCCAACTTCAAACTTTAGAACTGCAATCGCCTGCAGCCTGGGGGGGTGTCCCCCAAGTCCCAGCCCTGACAGCCCAGGGTCTCTGCGATCTGGAGCCAGAGGAAGAGAGGTTGGCAGGTTGAGATGGGAACTTGTATCCCTAGTAACCAAGTATTCCCTTGATGGAATTTTACATTAAAGTGTCCCAAGCTCTGGGAGCAATGAGAATTTTACTTAGAAGAACATGGGGTGGGGGGAGCATCCTCCTCTTAGGAGGTAAAGCCCAGTGCTTTCAGTCCTAGAAATCCAATGTCCTTTTCTGGATTATCATTCATATTAAATGTCCTGGGAGATGTTTTTCTTTTTGAAGTAAATACTATAACAATGCCTGGAAGACAACTTGGACATTTTAACCAGCATGTGAGACTTCCTAAGATAATTCCTATTTCAAATAAATTATGATAAATTGCTCAGCTTCAAGAATTTGGAGACGTGTCTATAGCATGTAAAACTTTTAAACTGCCTAATGTCAGGCTCTTATTTTCCACTATTTATTGTATTTTAACCAATTTAACTCCAAGCAAAAAGAAAAAATTGTGGGGAGAAATTGAAAGTAAAGGTCTTGTCTTGCCCCATTACCTCCCACCTGTCACACAATCTCCTCCCCCTGAAGAGAAATCCTCCTGTCACTGTGACTTCCAGTTGAAAACAGAAAGGAAATAAGATGACTTCTGGAAAAAGCTGTCCATTGTGTTCTTAATTGTTTGCTTTTTTTTTTCAGTACTTAAATATGCCCAGAGAGTGAGGGCATGAAAAAGCTAAATGAAGAGTCAGCTGAAAGTATCACCTAGACTGCTTGTTAGAGAATTCTAAGGTAGACGTGTGTGCATACTTATGCATGAGGGTAAAATAACCTACCTAATCATCGCCCCCCATGTATGGGAAATATTGACATATATATCCATGAACTGAAAAATCTTTAAGTACATGTGTGCAGAGATTCAGTTCTATGAAAGCTCAGCTAGCTGTCCGCATGCATGTATTCACTTCTGGAGTAAAGGCATTTTTGTTGCTCCCATAGTTTCTTTCCATTAAGAGCGATTAGATGATGTCTATTCAAAGTTGCTGATCCAGAGAGAAAATAAGAGTAGATAAAAGGAGATTTCAAGTGACCTCCTCATCCCTTTCACACCAACCTGAGCCCTAGAATAGCCAAGGATCAACTAACACAAAAGCCCTTTCCTTTCTCTTTTCAGCTTCAGAAGACTTTATGCAGGGGGGTAACAATAAAACATAGAACGATCCCCGAGTTTTGTTAGATCATGCATTCAGAATACTTTATTAACTCCCCCCAAAGATGGGCTAGGTTTATTTTCCACCTTTGAAATGGGTAAATAAAATATATATAGCATAACAAAGGGCATAATTGTTTACTGTTCTATTGCTTATATCAGTGGTGTCCTATGCTTGTGCTTTTTTTTTTTTTTCATTTAAACTTTAGCTAAACCTCCTCTCTCCTCAACGATGGAGGACATTGTAATAAATATATCTTTCCACTGACAGTTTAGAAGGAAATGTTAGGTTTATTATTTAGATCAACGTTCTGATAGGTAAATACAATTGCAACATGACTGGTAACACCAGCAGACCTGCTGGCTTTTTGAGCCAATACTTTTCCACTAGTTTATCTCATAGGCAGTAAAGAAAGTGACATTAAACACTGAAACATATTAGAGCAGTCTTTAGTCAGTGAAATATCCAACTCAGATCTACTTCTGATGGGCTAATCCTGTAGTAGAAGAAATAGGTGCTCTGACAGGTAACTATTAAGGGAAATGATTATGTAGAGCAGTTGATTGTATTCTCAGGGTACTCCAACAACCTTCAGACTCATTTCAAAACTTCAACTTTCATCCAAACCTAATCCATTTTCCCTGGAAAGAATAGCCATGCGGTTTTATTCTTCACTCAAGCTGGGTATTTAAAATAAATAAATTTTATAACATAAAAGTCTTCAATTATTTCCTTTTTTCTTTTTGCATAAATGCATTTAGATAGCTAAGACTTGATTTTTATAAAAAGTAAATATTTGGCTCTAGCTTCACTGGTGTGCTAAGAATGATTGTCACTTTTCCTCCTCTAAAAAGGCTCGATTTGCATCCAAAGGTCAGTGCTTGCTCTCCTGCCGTCCTTCCTCCTGCTGCTTCTCCTGGGCCCTCTAACTGGGGGCCTAGGCCAAAAGGAGAAGTGCTTCCCTTATCTCTCTTTTTCAAAACACGTGCTTTAAATGACCGGTTTGAGATAGAAAACTAAACTAAGGTACAGCACTTATCTCTGAGCATTTCGACCCAAAGGTGACAAAGAAGAAATGCCTGGGCTACCAGAGCGATAGTAAACCCTGGAGTCTGTTGGGTTCATGGTTTGACTATATGTGCACGCTAAGGGTAGGCAGTCCACCAGAAGCCTGACTCCTAACTTGGCCTATCCACCTGGTTTTTTGTTGATAAAGGCAGAACTTTTTACAACTAGGCAGCCACAATATAGGCTGGGTTCAGTCTTGGGGGTAAAGATTTCTGAGATAGGCTGGGGTTTAGTTTGTTTGTTTTGGTTTTGTGTTTTAGTAATCACAAAACATTAGATGGGCATTCCTGCACCTCTCTCCACCCTTTCTTCCAAAAGATCTGTGTGAGACCATTTTAAATACATCTTCAACTATGTCCTTCCTGGCTTTAATCTCATGCCAGGGGAGACTAATTGATTCAGCACCTTTCAAATAAGCTCTTTGGGAAAGGTCTGCAGCAAGATCAGAGGCACTGACCTTTTTCTCAATGATTGCAGGCATGTTCATCTCTCCAGATGGGCTCGATAAAACGGGGTTAGTTCTGTTCTGTGGTCTTGCTAAACAGAATAATACCATTTTTAACGATTTTGAGGTAGGGAAGAGGTATAAAAGAGAATTTCCTACACATATCTGATCATTTGTAGGGTCCCATGGCTCTTGAACTAGATTTAGAAAATGTTTTTACAAGGCCACTTTTGTTCAGTGTGACTTACCAAAAAGCTAAAATGAATGACTTTCGGGAGACCAAGATATCAATATCAAAAAAAGCCCATAGAATTAGTGAAAAATGGTTCAGCCTCGTGGTAAGAAAGATATGGAGGGAGAGGATATGTTAACAGACAGACAGTCCGCTTAGATCCGGATTCTGGGGCCTGGAACGCAAGTCAACCCTGAATGTGCAGCCAAACCGATCTGTGCTTCTCTTCCTCTCTCACCAGATCACAATTTACTGGGTGGCAAGCTGGGAGAGATCAAGCTTTGTCTGGTATGTCTTTTAAAACGTGATTAACGCTGAGCTTGATGCTAGCAGCCCGCAAGGGGTACTATAGGCTTACAGCCTAATTCCTTTCCCCAAGCGGAGCGGTACCTTCTCATCGCCTTTTTGGGGAACTACACTAAAGATCTAGTGTGCACTGAACAGGTCTGTGGGAACCAGGAAGGCAGAGGAAGGAAGGGAGGCTCCCGGGAGCCCAGGCCCCGGCAAGGCCCTTACAGTTCCCAGACCCGCCAAACCGAAAGAGAGACCCTGGAGAGGGCTGAGCCCCTGTGGGCCTGGCTGGAGGCCTCGGGTAGGATGCTGAGGCAAGAGCCACAGCGGTCCGAGTCCAAGAACCACGTCCAGACTCAGCTTAAGGTTCCGAGGTGAAAGGCCTGGCCTAGAAGGGAGGGAGAGAGATCTGAAGAAGAGGGGGTGGGTGAAAGAAACGTGGACACTACAACTGCGTTTTCTGCTCCTGCAGCTGAGCGTGCCTGGACAAGTATGTAGGATTTCCCAATTGGGGGATCTAAGTACTCTCGAAAACTATGATCAGTTTTCTATTAGGTACCCTACCCCACAACAACAGATATCATTATTTCCTGGTTGAGTGTGGGTCGCATTAGGCCCAGGACAAGTGTGCCAATTGGGACCAGTATCAAAAGAGAGCCTTGAAGAAAGAAAGAAAGGGCTTCCCAGGAACTAAGCTGACCTCTCAGTGCCTCTAGGGAAGACATTTTTGCTGGAGGCAGGGCTATGAGCACAAGTGGGGCGCCCTGTGGGTGTGCAACCGCGGTCGGGGAGCACAGGCTTCCGAAGAGAAACTGAGCTCTAAGTGCCACTCAGGCCGGACGAGTTCCAGAGGGGGACAGCGCCCTCCTCGAAAAGCCTTGGTTTCTCCCCGCCCCCTCTTGTGACAGAAAGTTGGCAAGGATGCCCCGTAGGAGTGCGAGCCGCTCCCCTCCTCCGAAAAGCCGCGGGCTTCCGCTGCTCCGGGCATCACCACCAACAGCTTCCCACTCCCACCCCTGGGACTAGGACAGGGGACTTCACCCTCCTCCTTCCTTCCGGAGGAGCCCGCGGCTTCGCCTGAGGCCTCGCGGGCCCAACTTCTCCCCACCGCTAGGGTCACGCCGGGTCCCAGGGGCCTCTTTCAAGTTTGAAAGCTCTGTGGGGGCACGGAGAGCCCACAGTAAGGATGGGTGGGCGCCTCTGCTCCCGGGCAGGCTCAGCTGTCATCCCGTCTCGCCTTGGCCCTCACCTACAGGGCCTGACCCCGGGCCAGCCCAGCTAGGCAAGGCCTCCTCGCTTCCGAGACCCCCCAGCCCCCGGGTGCAGTCCCCAGCATCGGCTGCCCCCGCCCCCCGCGCGCCCTCTGACGCAAACGCACGCCCCTGCCCCGCACGGAGGAAAGCGCTCTTGTTGGTTTTAATTGAGCCTCTTCCTTTCAACACACCCCCTCTGTCCCCACCCCTGGGAGGCGACCCCCTCCCCGCCCCCAGCCGGCTGGCAGCGGCGCAGGGAGTCTGGCTCGGCTGCTAGGCTGCGAATCCCGGTGCTCTCTCGCCGCCGCCGCAGGTTGTCTGCTCGGGAGAGCGGCTCGATGTCCCTTTTAATCCGCTGACACTATCGCCCACATCAGACAGGCAGCCATCGATCGCGTTACATTAGGGGATGGCGTTACAAACGGCGTCCGCAGGTGGGCGGCTGCAGCCAAGCTCGCCAGGTTCAGGCCGTAACCAGGCAAGGCGCGGGCACAAGGGCCAGCCGGGCCGGACTCTGCAGCCGGCTCCACCGCGGGTCGCGCTCGGCACCAGCAGGAACAGCCGGGCCGGTGTTAAACGTGCGGGTCCCCGTCCTCCGCCCGGGCATCCGTTTCCCGCCTAGGAGAGAGAGGGAATAGCGGGTGGGGGTGGGAGCAGCCTGTTTTGAATGTGGATTGCTGCTCGCCTGGCACGATCCTCCCCTCCAAGGAGGCGCGGCGGCCGCGATCCTCGCCTTAGCGCTACGGCGAGACAGAGGCCGAGCGAGGGCAACTCCCGAGCAGGCCCCGAAGAAAGTTCTCCTCGTCCCGCCCTGGCTGCCTAGACTCTGCTCTCGGCCTGCGGAGGCCGTGCGAGCCAAGACTGCCTCCCGGCCCTGCCCGTTACCAACCCCAAGTTCAAGAGAAACGACAACCATTATGTTACTTGCCTGGTGAGGCAGGATTTGGCCGAGTCTCGTTTCTGGTGCCCACGACGCACGGTCCAGGGTCCGAGGGCGGCTGGGCCGGCGGACTGGGCATCCAGTGTGCCTGCGGTGCCCTGGCGCTCGCTGTCGCTGGTCTCCCACTCCCTTCGTCTCTCTCCGCGTTCTCCTTCCCTCGCCCTATCTCCCTCTCTCCGCCTGCTGCCTCTGCCCTCGACTCCCTGCCTCTGACTGTATGGGGAGTACGATTTAGAATCTGTACATAGAAAGGTTTTCTTTTCTTTCTTTTCTTTTGGTCTATTTTAATCGTGTTCGTTTCACCTTTTAACTGACCAGAAGACGGGAGCGCGTTTGCGCGTTTATTTGGGCATAGGGACGAGGGCAAGGAGCCCCTGCTACCCCCAGTCGCCTCCTCGCCATCAGCTGCGTACAATGGGCCACCGCTCGCGGAGTGCATTGACAGTTCTCCATTATTCGAGCTGGAGGGGCTGTGGGGCAGGCACGGGAAAACCTTTTATTCTGCTCTTTAAAATCATCGCTCGTCACTAAGCGGTCGCCGACTCCCGACTTGTAGGCTGGAGAGACCAGGAAGCGCAAAACGTCCCCCAAACACGCAGTGCTTCCCAAACCCCTCCCTGGTGAGACTTAAAGTGAGAACGAGTATTAAAAAACAAACCCTACCTCTGTCAATACAGCGTGGCCATTTACTTCCACCTTTACCTGAGGGCGTGTTGGCGCTAGGAATGCTCGAGCTGAGACAAACTTTTACGCCCTCGCGAGTCGAGGGGCGGGCGGGCGAGCGCGGCTCCCACCCCCGGCGGCGGCAGCGGCGGCTTTGTCACTCCGCGCGGCTCCGCGCCCGCCTGAGCCTGCCTAGGGGAGCGATCTCAAAACGAGGGGGGTGCGAGTATGCGATTGGAGAATATGTAACTAATAGAAGTATCATTTTCCCCCAGTACGATCTTTCAAGGAAAAAAAAATCCATTGAAAGAATTTTCAAAGTGCTGTCTTCGTTTGGAGAAAAGGCACAGGCTGCCTGCGGGGAGGGGAGGAGGGACTCGGCTGTGTGCCGCCCGGGAGCGGCTCCCGTCCGCTAGGTGGCAGCCGGAGCCAGCGATTCCTGCAAGCCCCGCCGCGGGACCCGCTCCTCCCGCCTGCCCCTCCTCCCGCGACCAATCACCTTCAGGATTCAGGAATCGGGGTCTCGGTCTCTCTCTCTCTCTCTCTCTCTCTCTCTCTCTCTCTCTCTCTCTCTCTCTCTCTCTCTCTCTCTCCCCCTCTCCCTCTCCCTCTCCCTCTCCTCTCTCCCTCTCCCTCTCCCTCTCCCTCTCCCTCTCCCTCTCCCTCTCCCTCTCGTCTCTCTCTCTCTCTCTCTCCTCTCTCTCTCTCTCTCCTCTCTCTCTCTCTCCTCTCTCCTCTCTCTCTCGGTCTCTCTCTCTCTCTCTGGGTCTCTCTCTCTCTCTCTCTCTCTGGGTCTCTCTCTCTCTCCTCTCTCTCTGGGTCTCTCTCTCTCTCCTCTCTCTCTCTCTCCCCTCTCCTCTCTTCTCTCTCTCTCTCTCTCAATATCTCGCGCGCTCTCCTCTCTCCTCTCTTTCCTTTCCTCTCCTCTCTCTCTGTCTCTCTCTCTCCTCCTCCCCCTTTTCTCTCTCCCTCTCCGCCTCCCCCCCTCTCCATCTTCTCGTTTGTTTGCTCTTTTCCCGGGACTGACTTGGCCACACTAATCTCCCCCCACCCTGCAACAATATGGGGACTTACTACTGTTTTATTAATAATGATTGAAGCATTGTTGGAGTTTGGAACAGCCAGGTGATAAAAAAAAAAAAAAAGAAGAAGGAAAAATTGGATTGATTGGAAAGTTTATTTTTAAAATCATCTTTGGGATAAATAGGAACCCTTGATTCCGATCGAATTTGTGGCAATAGCTGCAAATTCCAGGAGTGTGCTTTGTCATCATTAAACCTTTTAAACCAAGGTATACTTTGGATTAAAAAATAGGGAGATCCTACCCTGTTTCTACTTGTTTCTAAAAAGGATATAAAATGAGCAGAATCCAGACTTGGATTGTGCTTATATGTGAGAGAAGAAAACAATCCAAATCCAGTATATTTCACAAATCATTAAAATGGTGGGGGTTTCATTCCCATTAAAAATTTTTCCAAACATTTTCAATGACACTCTCTTCACGCTCATAAAATCTAATTTTAAAAACTTTTCAGAAGAAATCAAAATAATTTCCCTCTAATTCTCCTTTTGCCCATCGCTAGGCGTTCTCCCCCTCGTCATCCCTTCCCCCTCTGGGGTGTGAGCGTAAGTGTGTGTGTGTGTATGTGTGTGTGTGTGTGACCATAGACGACCCATACTAATCAGGTCTCAGAGTAAATAGCAGCGCAGGGCGATCTCAATGTAAATTGCGCTTGTCAGAAACACACCCCCCTCCCTCACTTTCTCTCCTCCTCCCCACACCATCCCAGTCTGTAGGTAGCTAAGCGGGGGGGGGAGAAAGAAAGCAAAAGAGGAGGGGGGAGGGGCTCTCCAACCAATGGCGTGCAGGAGGCTTGGCTAACCTTAGCCTCCCATTTTCTCTCCCCCCGATTCAGGGCTCTGACCAGTCAGTCGCCTTTGATTATCAGTTGCCAGCAGCCCTTCTCTTGGCTCCTTGACACGAGCTCCATATAAGGCAGCGATCTCCATAGAAACGTGTCAGTTTCAATAGTAGTGTCAAAGTTCACTATATACAGACATTCGCGCAGATCCCCCTTTCGGAAACATTGCTCTGCGAGTCCTCCCGTTTAAACGCATTCAATTTTTGGGTCTCTCTCTCTCTCTCTCTCTCTCTTCTTCTCTTCTCTCTCTCTCTCTCTCTCCTCTCTCTCTCTCCTCTTTCTCCCCCCTCTCTCCCTCCTCTCCTCTCTCTCTCCTCTCTTCTCTGAACCTCTCTTCTCTTTCTCTTTTCTTACATATTCTACTAGTTGTTTTCCCCTTCTTCTTCTCCTTTCTCTCCTTTTTCTCCCTCCTCCTTGTCTCTTTTACTCCATTCCTGCAGAAGAGAGAGGGCTAAACTTAAAGAAAAAAAAAAGGAGGAGGAGGAGGAGGAGGCACCCCCTTCGTATTCTTCTTATCGTTATTTTATACATATATGATTTTTTTTGGAGGGAGGGTGTTGGTTGCCGGCTGAAGAGCACTTATTTAAAATACTAAAAAAAGAACATTTTTGGGCGATCTCCAGGGTTTTTTTAACTAGCTCTGTGTGTTATAGCAGAAGAAGCAGAAGAAGGAGCAAGAAAGAGGAAAAGAAGAGGATTATTTATTCGACCTACTTTGGATGTCTCTCTCGCTTTTCCTTTTTCCTTTTTTTGGCAATTATTTTCTTCTGATTTTTATTTTTTC
Source organism: Homo sapiens (assembly GCF_000001405.40). Classification (NCBI taxonomy): domain Eukaryota; kingdom Metazoa; phylum Chordata; class Mammalia; order Primates; family Hominidae; genus Homo; species Homo sapiens. Next base: position 93,583,848 of record NC_000005.10, read on the forward strand.
TATTTCGCTGTGATTTCGTCGCCGGCGTGAATTATCCCGTATTTTTCTCCCCCTTCCGTCACCTCCCGAAAGAAGAAGGCAGCGAGAGCCCGGCGCCACCGGCACAACAAAAAGAGCAAAGTGTGTGATCTTCCTCGCCGGCTGCCTCCCGCTCTCCAGCGCTGCCTTCCTGAATGGCTGGCTGCGTCCGGCCCTGGACCTGGCCCCCCGACACCCGCGCGCCCTGATCGCCGGCGGCAGCCTCGCCCAGCGCCCTGCTCGGCTCACCGCGCTCCCCGCACTCCCGAGCCCGGCGAGGGCTCCCGCCGGGACAGCGGCGGCGCCGCGGGCGGCCCCGGCCTCCGCTCGCGCTCCGGCTGCGGCCCCGACTCCTGCTCGGACTCCGGCCCGGGTCCCGGCTCCTCCAGCGGCGCTCGCCGCAGCAGCTCCGGCGGCAGCTCCAGCGGCGCCTGCAGCCGCGACCTCCTCCTCCTCCGCCGCCGCCGCCGCCTCCGCCCTCGCCGGCTTCCTCTATGTCGGCTCAGCCCGCGCGCTGCGCGTAGCCCGAGCGGCCGGCGGGCGGGCGCCCGGCGCGGGTGAGCGACTGTGTGTGCGAGTGTGTGTGTGCGCGGGGGTGCGGGCGAGGCGGAGGGCGAGTGTGTGCGCGCGCCGTGGCCCATGCCCGCCGCCCCCGGCGCTGCGCCCCGCGCCGCTCCCGGCTGCCGCCTGTGCCATTTCTGATTTTGCAACTTGGGGAAGAAGAAAAAAGCGAGAGAAGGGAGCTTGCTCGCCGGGGGGTGGGGAGGGGGGAAGGAGAGCGCGGCCCCCCCAGGAACGGAGCGCGGGGGGAGCGGGCGAGGGGAGCAGGGGTGTTGGGGGGGGAGCCTGAGAGCCTGGGGGGGCTGCAAAAAGAGAGAAAGAAAACAGCAGGAACCACAACAAAACGCCAGCAGGGCGGGCGGGCGCGCAGCAGCAGCGGGGCGGCCGAGGCAGTAGCGGCGGCAGCGGCGGCGGCGGCGGAGGCAGCGGCCGGTGTCCGGCTCGGGCTCGGCTCCTGCGACCCCGGGGCGCCCGGCGGGCCCCCCGCCCCCTCCCCCTCCCCCCTTCCCCTTCCCCTTCCCCTCCCAGCGCGCCCGCGCGCCCCGCGGCCCTCGGCGAGCAGCTCGGCTCCCCCCAGCGCTCCCCGGGCCCAAAGATATGGCAATGGTAGTTAGCAGCTGGCGAGATCCGCAGGACGACGTGGCCGGGGGCAACCCCGGCGGCCCCAACCCCGCAGCGCAGGCGGCCCGCGGCGGCGGCGGCGGCGCCGGCGAGCAGCAGCAGCAGGCGGGCTCGGGCGCGCCGCACACGCCGCAGACCCCGGGCCAGCCCGGAGCGCCCGCCACCCCCGGCACGGCGGGGGACAAGGGCCAGGGCCCGCCCGGTTCGGGCCAGAGCCAGCAGCACATCGAGTGCGTGGTGTGCGGGGACAAGTCGAGCGGCAAGCACTACGGCCAATTCACCTGCGAGGGCTGCAAAAGTTTCTTCAAGAGGAGCGTCCGCAGGAACTTAACTTACACATGCCGTGCCAACAGGAACTGTCCCATCGACCAGCACCACCGCAACCAGTGCCAATACTGCCGCCTCAAGAAGTGCCTCAAAGTGGGCATGAGGCGGGAAGGTGAATATTTCTTCTCTGCTTCTCTCCCCGCGCTTCGCCCGCCTCCCTGGCTCTTTCTTTCTTTCTCGCCCGGGTGGTTGCTGTGTGGGGCTGGGGCTCCTGTGGTCCCGGCCCGTCCCAGCTTTCCTTCTCCCGGCTGCCTTCCTCCCCCGGCGTCTCCCCCCGCCCTCCCCAGCTCGCTGCCGCTGCCTCCCCCTCCCGGCCTGCGCTCATCTCCCCGGCTCCCCCACCCCGCCCGCTGCCTGCTCAGGATTGTGTCCCTGAGATCGTGAGCTGTGGCTTAAAATCCCCTTCTTCCCTCTGTCTTGGATGTGCTCGGTGTGTGTCTCTTTCCCGCGTGTGCGTGAGGCTGCTTGGGGCTGTGCTGGCATGAACTTGGGGAGGGGTGCTTATTTCCCCCAGAAAACTCTGTTTCTGTGGTTTTTTTTCATTCCACTTTTCCCTCCACCTCTTCATACCCTTTATTTAAAATGGGGGAGGGCTGGGGGCTGGAGTACCCTGAACCATAGATTCATTGCTGCCATCATCCTTTTGGAAGCTTAGCTCGGAAAAAGAGGAGTGAGATTTATTGCACTTGTAGGTCTAATTAGGGGGGAAGGGGGGCTTCTGGCCCGTTCACTGGTTCCCTCTCTTCTTCACGGAGCTGGGGCCGCCTCCTCCAGAGCTGTGGCCTTGTTTTCACCCCTCTACTTTGAAAGGAAAGTTTGTGACTGAACCGTGCTTTCATAGTTGTGTCATTTTTTTTAAAGCATGATACTCGTTTTATTTCTTCATCAAACTCCACCCTCTGCTTAAATACTGCATACAAATTACAATTTACAACGGCATTTACCGATCCTTCTGATTTGGCCGTAATGCATAGACTGCAGCTAGCATGAGCTTCCACATCATTTAATCCCTGTGTTGTATGGGTTTGTTTTTTTTAAAAAAAAACACAACTTTTGATGTTGTATTTGGATATGCTTCATGTTCATGTGGCAAGAGATGCAGTACTTTTCTTATAAATATATTTAGCCGTTTACAGTTAAAGTTTATCTCTTGACAATCATTAAAGATGTCTTATAGTCAAATTAGCGAACCAGTCAATTTTGCAGAATGCAGATTACTCCTTCTTGTAATTGACTTTAAAATTATATTTTATATGCCACAAGAAAAGAAATTGAATTCCTTCAGATCTCAAGGAGCAGACAAATATGACTACTTCATTTCTAGCTCCAGGGAGATTTTGTAGGCATCTGAAAAAAAAAAAACTTTGAATTGTACTCTCACTTAATTGAAAAATAACTGCCAAGTTCAAAACTATAATTAGAAAAAAGTATTCTAGGCATTATGTTTCAAGAGCTTCAATTGCACTGGAACTTGCATTAAAATTAGAATCAAAGCAAACTTAAGAAAATAGAACAAAACCTGAAATAAGATAGCTACATGTACATGAACATATCTATATTAATTTGTTGGGGGAAGAGTTCAGTAGCCCTAACTTTTCCTAAAGTTGTCTTTGTTTATATGGCAATTTAAAACGCTGGCACTGTTGAAGTAAAACATACACATTTAAAAAAAAAAAAAAAAAAACTTTGGTCAGCTTTAAGAACTCAAAGCATGCTTACGTTTTGCATTCAGATGGTTAATGAATCCAGTGTTTTTGCAGTTGAAAGCTCGTGCATTCACTGGGCAAAAGCTGGCTGCAGGTTGCAGTGGCACCGCGCAGGACAGACATTAATTATATTTCCTACTTTTTTCAATAATGTTTGGCTACTGTAAGTTCAACTTTTTTTCTTGAAAATTTTCAATTTTCTGTTGCTTTTAATAGTGAGAACTTTGTATGGGGCGACGGGGAGGAGGGGAGAAGGGAGGGGTGCAGGATACTTGTTCTCTACTCAAAAGTTGTAAGTGGTTAGTAGGATATGTAACTTGTGTCTATTTTAAGAATTATTCTATAGCATTTTAAGAGAATGTGGAAACATTTTATCAGCAAAACGCTGCTTGCTTGCAAATGAGGAGGCCGCTAGGCATTTGCCTAGAACCACAACCTTTCTCCGGTTTCGCCTTTTTTTAACCCTGATTTTTTTTTTCCATTCTGGAGGGGTGAGTGGGGTTTCATTTATCTGTGTGTTCCCCCGTGGTGGCTTAGGGGTTGGATGACACTTTCTTGACCTTGCCAGGGTTGGGGCCCTGGAGTCAGGCCTAGCTCCGGCGGGGCTGACGTGGCCAGGGGCTCAGGCAGTGGCTGGACACACTGAGCTGTGGAGCTGGAGGGCCTCACCCCAGATCTCCTAGCGGTGTGGACTGTGAGAGCGAGCCGGAGAAGATGCGCGGGGCGCGTGTGGCTGCGGGAAGAGCTTCTGCATTGTGTTGGGTACGCTGCGGCGCGGCAATGTTCGCAAGCTCCCTGGATGCACATTGCCTCTTTTCTCTCTTTCTTTTTGTCAGCGGTTCAGCGAGGAAGAATGCCTCCAACCCAGCCCAATCCAGGCCAGTACGCACTCACCAACGGGGACCCCCTCAACGGCCACTGCTACCTGTCCGGCTACATCTCGCTGCTGCTGCGCGCCGAGCCCTACCCCACGTCGCGCTACGGCAGCCAGTGCATGCAGCCCAACAACATTATGGGCATCGAGAACATCTGCGAGCTGGCCGCGCGCCTGCTCTTCAGCGCCGTCGAGTGGGCCCGCAACATCCCCTTCTTCCCGGATCTGCAGATCACCGACCAGGTGTCCCTGCTACGCCTCACCTGGAGCGAGCTGTTCGTGCTCAACGCGGCCCAGTGCTCTATGCCGCTGCACGTGGCGCCGTTGCTGGCCGCCGCCGGCCTGCATGCCTCGCCCATGTCTGCCGACCGCGTCGTGGCCTTCATGGACCACATCCGCATCTTCCAGGAGCAGGTGGAGAAGCTCAAGGCGCTACACGTCGACTCAGCCGAGTACAGCTGCCTCAAAGCCATCGTGCTGTTCACGTCAGGTGAGGCTGCGGTCGCGGGGAGGGCAGGCCGCGCCGGCAGCGAGCGCAGGCCCCGCGCCGCCCGGGCCTGGCCTTCGGAGCCTCCCGCGCGGCCGGTGCGGGGCGGGCCGGGCCCTCGCTGGACACTGAGCCTGGCCCGGGTCTGTGACCCCCGCGCGGTGACCGGCTGGCCGCGCCGCTGCCATCTTGGGAGCGCGGCGGTGCGGGAACCGAGGCGGCGCGGGTGCGGCCGGCGGGCGGCCGGGCCTAGTCGCCCGGACCCCTACGTGGGGCCGCGGCTGCCGAGGGTGTGTGTCTGAGGCGGGGGGGCGGTGCTGTGGATCCGTCTGGCTGCGCGCGCGCGCGCGCGTGTGTGTGTGTGTGTGTGTCTCTGTGTGTGTGTCTGTGTGTGGTGCGTGTTATGTGTGAGCCAGAGCTCAGCGTTTCTGGGGGAGGCGAGGGAAGGAAGAGAACGTGGGAATGTGGCTTCTTACCCTGTGTGGCACTCTCCTTGAATGAATTTCCCGACACAGAGAGACACAGAGAGAGGTGGAAAGAGAAGAATACGCACAAATAAATCATAATAATCCCGCTTTATCGCTGCCTGATTTTCCCTTATCGGAAACCATTCATGTTTGCAGTTGGTGAGGTTATTGAGGGTCGTAAAAAACGGATTCGATCTAAACAAGAAAGATAAAAAACAAAAGCAATGCTGTAGAACCCGCAAGTATGGGAGGATTCCCCGCCTGAAGATGAATTCCAAAGCTATGCAAAACACATGAACACTGGAAATTTAAGAGTGCCTTAAAAAATATCAAATTATGTGTAGGCAGTGGTAACATGCATGTTAACAATTTCTCTTATGATAGATGGTTCAAATTAACTTCCAGAAAAGTGCATTAACGTTTCCTTTGAAGGGCTCTGGTCTGAGCCTCCGAGAACAATCCCCGCTTTTTATTATTGTAACCTGTAAGAGGGAAACATATAAACACCCAGGACAGCAGGTAATGGGGAGAAATAGAGACAAAGCCAGAGAGGAGGCTGGTGGCAAGTAGTGCTGCTTAGACTGGGTCTTGGGCCCTGCCCACTGTGAGTAGGGTTAGCTGCAGTTTTACCACCATTATTGGCAGTATTGTTTTTAATTCCTCCATTCGGAGAACAAATAAACCATCCTAATAAATCTATCCTAGAACCAGGCTTTCCAATGGCCAAATTAAAACCATTCTTGAACAGGGATAGCAAAATCCCTTTCATAAGGCCTTGTTGAACAGTAAGCAATGGTATAATCTATCAATATTTCTTGGCTTTCATGTGTGAAGAATTGTATTTACATTGTATTAAAATGACTCCTAAATTTGCACAATATTGTAATGTAGCAAATGTAGTATTAATATCGATCTGAACAGCAGATAATTTATTTAGACAAGAGCATCTCATTTGTATGCAGGGTGGCCAGAGCAATGGACTTGGACTGCCCCCCTTTTACTTTCAGTGCAAATGCAGGTCTGCTAGTGAGAGAGGGAGTTATTCTTTCCAAGAGGATAAAGTGCAAACCTTAAAACAAATGGAAGATTTATGGAATAGCCTCCTCCGTATTTGAATGCATTTTATCTTAATAAGTCTTCTTGATGGAAACGTGTTTTTCAAAAGTGACAAAGAGCCTGGGAAGCAGCAACCAGGCTGCCTCAGCTCTGGCAGGCCTGGGGCCTGGCTGGCTCTCTACTACCAGGCTCTTTAGCCAAATTCATCAGGAAGCAAGCCAGTGTCAGGGAAGCTGGGGTTTGAAAATCTCATCCAGCGAGGTGTCTTGAAGCAGAAATGTGACTTGGAACTGGACAGACGTTTTCTCAGGAAAGGTCTCTCCTCTCTTTTCCTTACACCCCCTAAGGTTCTTTGAACCCCCTTGACTTTGCTAATCTCATGCCCTTTCCCAGAGAGAGGTGAGGACTGTGCAGGCTGCAGGGAAACACTGTGGAATTATTCATGCTTTCCTTTTAACTTTCCATACTAAAACATTCCTGTGAAAAGTGTTCATTTAAAAAGTTTTCCAAGGAAGTTTCTTGAATCAAGTCTTCAAGGTGCAAAGAGTGCCTAGAAATGAACAATAACATTATTTTGTTGGAAAATTGCAAGCAGAATATCTGAAAATGGAAATAGAGCTGTCAGTAGTAATTCACCTCCCCCCTCCCATGCAACACATTTCCACTTTTGACTAAACTTGTTTTGATTGCTAGCCAGAAGGGAATTCATGGGAAGCCTTCTCAAAGTCATCCAACTTTTAAGCAAACTTTGAATGATGGAAAAGACAGTTTTAGACATATTGTCCAATGTGGTTTGCTTTGGCTAAGTATTTGAAGCTGGCACGGGGGTCCCCCGTGGTGGTTTTCACATTTGGCCTCCGGATGGTATGTTTAATCCTTAATATTCTGGACTGCATCCAAGGACTAGGTCATGACCTGAACTTACTTTTTAAAAAATTCATTAGTTCATACACCTAAATATTCCTTCAAATAAATGAGACTTTCTCTGAAAGGAGCCATCTAGTTAACATAAATACAATAAATCCATTTTCAGCACAATAATAACTTTGATTTCTAGTTATGGCAGCTGATTACATCTATATTTCCTGAACACTAAACTCTTCTGAATGCACAACATGAAATACATTCTCTGCACTACAAAGGCTAGGCCAGGAGGGCCTGAGCAGTAATGGTTATTTATTTACATAATTTCTTTTCCATACACTGTAGAAGAAATATTGAGAGTTCCCACATTGACACTACCGTATAAAAAGTGTGACATGGATTTTGCACATTCTGCCTCATTTTCTTATCTGGGGTATAACTCATGGAGCATAAATATATACTGTATTACACCCCCTGGTCACCTAGCTTTGTCACCACAACCCCCTAGTTGATCTGGGAGCTCATACCTTCTGTCCACAGTTGAGGGAATCCTGTTGCAAAGGGGTGAATGAATTTCCAGACTGGGAAGCCAGGCCAGAACCAGGGCTCCTGCCGGAGGGAAGCCACAGAGCTAGCTGGCTGGTACCTGGCAGGCAGGCCCAGCTACAGGCATTCACCTCCAAAGGAGGGAAGAAATGGAAGCAACCAGCACAGGACCCAGGCAGGCCTTTCCTGGGCTTCTTGTCTCTCTTGGAGCGGCCTGTTTGGGAGTTGGGAAGTGACCTTGTACTCCAGGGACCCTAATCATAAATGTCAGATAGATATTTTACTGAGCTGAGGGGATGCCAGATGGATCTTAAAAAAAAAAAATCTGCCGGGATACCAAGGGGCCCTTTTCACATTGCATTGTCTAGGGCTGAGAATGATCCATAAGCATGCAGGCAGATAATGCATGTAAAGCAAGCTCTATGTAATTATGGGTCTGGGTCTGAGTGAGGGTCATTCATCAGGGCCAGGTTAGCAAGCAGGGCCAAACTCACGGTCCCCTCTCTAAGCAGCAAAGCCCCACAGAGCTCTTGCTGCCCTGGCCCTAATAGCCATAAAGTCTCATTTGGCTTCCCATATCAGACCAGTGTGGATATACCCAACTGGCTGGCTGGAGTAATTAGACATCTGAGAGGAACCTAGTCTGTATCTGAGGTCAAAGGGGACTTGCCTCAGAAGTTCTTGAATTATCACTAGTTTTATTTGTATTTTTGCTCGAGGCCATAGCCTTGTAGATGAAGGTGTTAGAATGCTTTGTAAATCCCAGTTCTTGAAATATAAGGTCATAAAGCTCAGAAACTCAGCAGACACAGGTTTCACTTTGAATCATTTGTTGTGTCTTCTTAGGGTCACACTTGCCCATTCAAAATTATACAATGTCATTTTGGGGGCATTGCCATGCATCAATTTTTTCCCAGATCTATATATTAGCAAATTCTGCCTTTGATCTCTAGTCAACCTCCTGACTGGCTAAGGGCTCCTCTGTGATCTTACTGGTTTTTTTTTAATATTTATTATTAATATAAGAAACAAGTGGGTATTTGAACTAGGAGAGGATGCCTTTACTCCATTCCTCTTATTCCATCTTTCCCTCCCTATGCTTGCCTCTAGTTAGTTGATATAATATAATCTGCTGTCCTGAAATACTTTTAGAGGACCAAGAAGGGCCTTGGTTGACATGAACTAAGCACACAGATTTTGAGGTGCTGTCATTGTGCGGAGGTGCCTTTTTCTCCCTTGGTCCTGCCACCAAAAGCTTATCTCCCCCCAAGTCCCCCCTCAACTCCCCACCACCCACATCCCCCCCTACCCCCCCAGTTCTGAAGCAGCAGCAGCTGCTGCCTGTAGCCTAGCTTTGTGTCTGATTGCTGAAGATGTCGCCTTTCTGCAGCCTGGAGTAACTGAGTCATATTCTTCCTGATTATTATACAGCTTACAGAGATGTGACCAATTTTCAATTACTTGATCTAAGGTATAGATAGAAGTGTACACCCTCACCAAGGATTTGCTGCAGAGTCCTTTCTTGCATAGATAACGGATCTGAAATCCTATATTGCTAAAGCGTGGGCTTCATCTGATTCCAGGCACTGCCAGCCCATGATTCCTTACCCCCTCCCATGTGTTTGTTCACTACACAATCTAGGTTCTCCTGGAGGTTTCTGGTTGGGGTGGTTTGGGTTTGAGAGGGGACTCCAGGAATCCTTTAAGAACTGCCTTCAGGCTGCATATTTCCTAAGGGGTACTGAACACCCCCAGATCAGAGGCAAATGGGGCAAAAGTTAATGAGCACGGCCAGAAAGATGCTCCCTTGCAGGCCGAGGACAGGTTGTTAAGCGCAGCAAACATGGTTCCAGCATTGTACATTATTTAATCCAAAGGTGAAAGAGGAAAAACAAAGGGACTAGAGAGGTTTCTGCCTCTGCATGTGTGTGCCTCTCTCTCCAGCTCCCCTAGGCTTGGTGGGGGTTTGATTTATTTTTATTTGTATTGTATTGGGGGCGGGGGAGGAGGGAATGAAGAAGGGGATGGAGAGGTATAGGAGGGTGAATTTTTCTTTTCTCTTTTACTTCTTTTTTATTTTCCATTTTCTCCTTAAAAAAAATTGATGGCTTATTTTGCCTTTGCTATTTGTCAGCCTAACCGTGTGCTCCCTTTCCCTGTCTCTCCCTCCTGTGGCTGCTTGGGCAGACGCCTGTGGCCTGTCGGATGCGGCCCACATCGAGAGCCTGCAGGAGAAGTCGCAGTGCGCACTGGAGGAGTACGTGAGGAGCCAGTACCCCAACCAGCCCAGCCGTTTTGGCAAACTGCTGCTGCGACTGCCCTCGCTGCGCACCGTGTCCTCCTCCGTCATCGAGCAGCTCTTCTTCGTCCGTTTGGTAGGTAAAACCCCCATCGAAACTCTCATCCGCGATATGTTACTGTCTGGGAGCAGCTTCAACTGGCCTTACATGTCCATCCAGTGCTCCTAGACCTTGGGCGCTTCCCACCTGCCCCGTCCCCCTAGAGACTCAGAGGACCCACCTGGGCCAAGGACTCCAAAGCCGCGGGGACACCGGGAAGTGCAGCGGGCCAGGCAGGCTGGGTGGGAGGGAGGAGGGCCGAGACAGGAGCAGCCCACCCAGCAGAAATACAATCCGAGCTACAAAGCATGGGAAAAAGAGACTCTTTTAGGATCAGATCTGTGAGCACGTTGGCGAGGAAAAACAAAACAAACAAAAAAAAGAACCTTGTGTCTGTCTGGTGAAAAAAAGAAAAACAAATTGGAAGAGAGGACCATGAGAATTTTAATAAAACAGAAGGAAACTAATGGACCTTCCAGGATTTATTGTGGACGGATGTGGATATATTCTGTACAGGAACAACACATATGGAAGTGGACTGAAGCCTATGTAGAAACACACACACACTGAACATTGTTATTCATTTTGTAAAATACTAGTCTTTATTTTCATTTTTTGTAAAATTTAAACATCGTATGCGCATAAAGAAAAAGGAAACAAGAATTAGGGGAAAATAACATTTTCCAAATAATTATAAAAAATTGTCCTGTGTCTATGTATCTATATCTGTTTTGTATTTTTTTCTGGTTCCAAACCAGATTTCCTGTGATTCTATACTAATAATTTTTGATATAACCCTTTGCTTCTTATAATGAGTGCGATATATGTTGTCGAGGCTGTTCTTCAAGAATTAAAATTGAAGTGAAAATTTAAACAAAAATAAAAGAATTTAGCAAAACCCATGTGTCTGGTTGCTTGATAGATGTTATCCGTGGAAGAGAACTCCTTGGTTAATTTCCACCTCAACTATTATTAGAATTGAAGGTTTTGGTGTGTAAAAGGGGAGACTTTTAAAGTCTACTACAAAGTTGGTTAGATTCATTTCCAAAAACCAAGCTGCTACCTTGGTTTTGTAAATGCGGAGGGCCAGGCTCTACATGGGCTGGGGTCCGCGGGGAGGCAGGGCGCCTTGGTCGCTGACTTCAGCCGTTGAGACCTGGTGGGCTGCGGGCGGTCCCGTGCTCAGTTGGGCCAGGGAGTGGTGTAGGCAGGGTCGCGCGCCCGGTAAGTCTCCAGGCACCAAGCACCGGGGGCGCAGCCGGCTTCAGTGTCTGGCGGCGGCAACCGGGGCTTTACCGCATGTGGGAACTTGCTGAGCTGGAGAAGCTACAGAGGGACATGGAGAGCGGGACGTGGGGGTGACGGGAGTGGGCCGTTCAGACGCCACTGAGCCCGGCGCTGGTAGAACCCGCCTCTCTCCAGCTCTGGGAGACAGTTGGAGCCTCAGCGCTGTGAGTCCTGGCTTTGCTCCCCCTTATGGTCCACTGAAGATCTGGCTGTGGTTTGCCCTTCACTCCAGACCCTGTGACATGGGTTCTCAGAAGGGTCCTGGAACTCGGATGGGTGAAAGGAACCCCTGCCCCGCCCCGCTTGTGGCACTTAGGGGCGTGGACCCGGAACCTGGGAGTCAGAGGGCTGGAGCGGGTTCTTCACAGAAGAGGTATTTGGGCCCTAGTGGCCCTTTGAGGGCAGAAGCCTCCCGCTGAGGCCTGTCGGTGGGTGTGCTTGGGGGTCAGCTCTCTGTAACAGCTTTCGGAGCATGAATGTTTTATAGGATCAGAGCGGGCGCTGCGAGAACACATACTGCCAAGGGAGCTCTTTCTTAACGTATTAATAAAGCCAGATCTTTTAAAATAACACCTCTCACCCCTCCCCCTTCCCTCAGCCCCAAACAGGCCCGGATGAGGGAAGAGCTTCACTTTCAGAAGTCACTGGCAATGTTTTGCTTTCAGTGTGCTATCTGGAAGTCTCCACGTCTCCCCGGCACCCCCCGCCACCAAATGCATTAACAAGCTCCTACACTCCAACCCGCTTGTGGTTTTTAATATTCTGGGTGCAGCGCAGCATGGGCAGTGCCGCACTCTCTGTGAAGATGCCACTGCAGGCCCACGATCCGCAGCCTGGGCCAGCCTGGGGACCGGCCTGAGCTAGGGCGGCCAGGCAGGTAGGATATGGAGCCACTGGGACCCGTTTTATCCCTCCCCGGGCCGCATACTCTGCACCACGCCCAGGAATAACGTCTTAGGGCCTCTGTTGACTTCCCTGCAGGTTGGACACCTAAAGCAGGAGGGGTTGGGGAGAGTCCATAGTTAACCCCTGACCGCTTCCCAAGAAGTATCAGGGAGCCCCACTGGCTGCCGGATCCGGATTGGGGTGGGGTGGGCTGCAACCGGATTCCGAGGGGGAGGGGAGACGAGCTGCCTCGGAGAGCTCAGCGATCTTTCCTGCCTTTCTTGAAATGAGATGTAAATATATTCATTACAGTGTGATCCCTCTGATGAAAACAGATAAACATTTTCGTAGGTCGGAAACGTATTTTTCAATTAATCTCAATATGGAGGCCCAAGCGCAAGGCGCCCAGTGTAGACTGGCCCGCCAGCTGCAGTAGCCCGAGATGTACCCGCGCGTGCTCTAGTGTCCAGAGGTGACAGTGGTTAACTTGGCTCTTGCTCCACGAGGCTGGAACGTTGCCCATGACCTCGGGAATCCCAGCGACCTTTCTAAGGCTGGGCTCAAGCCTGGGGCCAATCTTCACAGCCTAGGAAGAAGTGCAGGCCCTCCTATGGCCGCCCAGCCTCCCTCCCGGGCTCCTCTAGGAGCAGGAGGCCCTAGGGCTGAAGGGAAGGGAGAGGTGGGGGTTCTCCAGTGCTCCGCAGGCGCGTCCTGCCCACCCCATCTCCCCGCAGTGGGTTTCTCCTCTTTCTCTTCTGTGACTGGGGTGGCCCCTGTCTGCATTACCCACAGAGAGTCAGTCGTCTTTCCAGGACCGGAGGTCTCTGTGTGTCTCATCCAGAGAGAGACAGAGTCTGCCTTGAATCAGAGGTCATGTGGCCGTCCCCGCCGGGCCGAACAGGTTGCAGGAGCCCTTGGCTTTCCTTCACAGAGAGGGCAGACAGGAATCTGCACGCGCTAAGGGAAGTTTGGGAGCTGCGACGCGTCTATCTGAGCAACGAGTTGAGCCTTCTGATAATTGGGAAGTACCCTTGCTCTCAGTTCTGGCGATGTGAAGGCTCCCCCACCCGACCCAGGCCGGGCTGACAGTGGCCAGTCCTGCGGGCTGAGGGCGGAGCGGTCAGCGGTTTCCTCTCGGCGCGGAGGGACAGGCCCCAGTAGGGGCCAGGCTGCCCCGGGTTCAGCGTCCTGTGTTTCCCCAGCCCCCGGTTGCGGCTGTGGCCCAGGACCTGGGCAGGAGGCGAGGTGGAGTAGCTGGGAGCCTCCTCTGCCTGGGTGGCCTCCAGAAGATTCCTGAGCAGTGAGCCCACCTTCATGCGGGGCGCCAGGGGGAGCCGTGGAACCGGGGCTTGAGGCTCCCAGCAGGTGTAGGCCGGGCAGTCGCCCTGGGCTCGCAGCCACACCTCTCCTGCAGGGGCGGTGGCAGCCCTAAAGAGTCAGGAGAGTAGGGCTGGGCTAACTGGGCGGGGCAGAGCCGACTCTTTCCCCAGGGCAAGAGGAAATTCTTCTTACCAGTTGGAGGTTGCCACATAAGATGACTTCCCTCTCGAAATCACCAGTGACTTAGGAGAGTCAAACGTTCGCTGTTCTAACCCAAAGGCTTGCTGGACAAATGAGAACTTTAGGAGCTTTGAAGTCTGTTTAAACTACCTTAGCCACAAGCTTTGTGGAAAACATCAGAAAAGCCATCTCAGGACGTGCTCTTCTCTGGGAATCACTAGGGAAGGAGTCTGCACCTTATCCGCAGCCAGGGGACAAGGCCTGGTGCTAGGGAGGAAAAGTATGACCTTTGTTCCCACACGCACATCCCAACCTGGGACCAGGCTGAGTGGAAGCCTGTGGTGGGAATGTGGGTCCCTCCTGCTCACCAGGAGAACCATGAGCTTTGGGGACTCCACCCTTCCAGTTGGTCCAGGCTCTTAAACTCTGGCAGCCACAAAGGTTCTTGGTTGGCTCCCAAGAGGTCCGACCACCCAGCTTTGCATTCAGGGGTGATGGGGATCTGGAGTCCCCTCTATCTGAGCCCACCTGAGCTTGTCTGCTTGAAGCATGTAGGGGGGTGGGGGGATTTTATTTTTAAAAATCTTTCTCCTCTTCTTTCATCGTAGGCACTCCTTATAACTCCTACAGTGGCAGAATTGCCTCCTGTGAGCTCTGCAATTCCTCAGAACAAATCACCTGAATGTCTCTGCAAATAGCAGACCATGAGGAGTGTGAGGAGGAGTGGAGGGGGACACAAGTGGGAACTAATAAAACTCTTGTTAAAGGGCCTGCTCAGGATCCGTGGCGTCACTGGGCCTTTTACTTGGGAAGCCAAAGAGTTGTATCCCTAAATGAGTTAAAGACCCATTTACCTCTGTCGTGTCCTATTCATCAAGTCACAAGTTGAGAGTTCCTAACATGAAACTATTTGTTTGCTTACACAACCAGCTGGGCGCAATTTCACGTCTGAGATATCTATCTGAAAGCGCCTCTCATTTATTATCTCTCCTTGTCAGCGAATCCATTTTCCAGCTCCCCCTCCCCCCCTTTGGAGTTTATTTATTTATTTATAGTGGGACTTCTTTGCCTGGGAGAACCTGGGGTTGGAATGCTCCCCAGGGAGTAGCCTCTCCCTGTGCGGGATCTGCTACGCCCAGGGTGTGGGGACCAGGGACTGGCAGAGGCACGCCCGTGGTCACAGCTGACCCCGGCTGGCAGGCGAGCCAGGGTGTGGGGTGGGTTGTGAGTAGTCCTGGCCGGACACTGCGGAGCTGCCTTTCTCCCTGGATGTCCTCTCTACTAGCTCTCCCTGTGTAAGCCTCAACCACCTGTACGAGGAGGGGGTGGTGGGGAGGCCCGGGAGGCGAATCCAGGAGCCTTTCTCCCAGAACGGGGGCCCGAGATACGGATTTGAGAGATGCTTTCACAAAGCCTCACCAAGTCCCACGGGGCCAATTTCTTCTCCGGGGGCCGAAGTGCAGAGTGAGTAACCAAGATGTAAACAGTTGCGTGATGGGTTTGGGGGAGGGGGCAGCGCATTTATTGTGTGTGCGGAAGGGAGAAAGCTGCACGTGATTTCAATTTTGAAGCACAAAGAAATAACATGCAATGCAGAAAATAGGTTTATGAATGTAATTGAGAGGAAAGAAAACAATTAACACGGTGCAAGGTTGCACACTCCATTCCCCACCCCTGGCCTTCTCTTCTACCCCAATTTTGAGAAATTCGGATCATGTGAATAGAGTGGCTTTAGGCAGTTGGATCCGGCTGACAAGGGAACCCCTGATGGGGATCTCAGTGATGGCTGGATAATGGTGTCTATCCATCTCCTGGTCTGCGAAGGCCTCCTCTAACCAAGCTGAAAGCAAAGGATCAAATCCCCAAGTCCAGCATATAAAATACCCCCAGGTGAAAAGGAGGAAGGAAGAAGGGGTGCCTGCAGGGGAGAGGAAAAAGAGAAAGAGATAGCGAGGGATTTCTTTAAGAAAGACCAGGCTGGTCTCTGCAAGCTATCCTATTGTGTTGATTTAGGAAGACATTTGCTGTATATAACGTTTAAGGCTGATAATATCATTGCACAGCCAGATAAATAAAGCGTTGGCCCAACCGTGGGGTCAGCGATCGATCTCTGGGCTCAGAGGAAAGAGGAGAGAGACAGGGTCGTGCACGAGGCTCTGTCTGTGTGCTTGTCAGTCGGCATGCAGGAGCCCGAGTGTATGTGAGCGTCAGGGTGTGCGAGAGAGAGAACCAAGTCTTCAGCTGGCCAAGAGGCTCATTAGCATTCCTAACCCATGGACCTGCGCTGACAACTAACAGAGATATCCCGCTCACCACCAGGCCTCCTCTCCTTTTGTCTTCAGATCTGGAGGAGAAAAAGATTTCTCGGTGGAAGCTGGAGCCTGAACTTCCATGTGGTTGTTGGAGATTCGGTGCCTAAAAAAAGACATACCAGGATCTTGCCTGATCTTTCACTCTGCTTTTAAAAACTTTCCTCTTAAAGAGGGAACTTTTTTGCTTTTCTCTCTCAAAGTATAATATGCTTGTTGAAACTTCAAACTTAAATGGGAGAGAAAAATTCTCTGAAAATATTTTGCCATTTTTCCTTGTTTACACAAAGAGAGGTGGATGTTTACATGTTTGATTCACATACACATGTAAAGCTGGTACTTTCGGTTAAAACTTTCTAGAACATAGCAATCAGGGGTTGTTTGAGCTTCCCACCCCGCTTTCTTTCTCTTGGTCATATTTTATTATGAGATAAAATTCATTTTGTTTTCTGTAATAAGCATCTTGCTCATTATTTTATTGCTCTCCATTGTTCTTTAAATGAAATACATCTTAAAATTACATAGATCTAGTTTTGTATTAACTATCAGAAAAATGCAATTTTAGAAATTTCTATTGTTGTAAGAAGCATTTAAAAATTATGCTCAATCATGCAGTTTTAATGACCTTACACCTATTTGGGGGAGAAGTGTCTTTTAGCCATATCTCAACGGGGATAAATATGTATCCACTTTGCTCTCCCAGATCCTGTTCCTTGAACTCCATCAAACTAGGCAGATAGTTTTACATTGGAGTGTACAAATTATCCCATGTTGACAGATGTTTGTCACTTAGTAACTTCTTTCCAAGTTTTTCCCCCTCCCCTAAGCTTTCTTTCCAGCTTGCTTTGTTGTTTTAAAATATGCATGTCTCTCACTGGAATGCCAGTCACGAGTGCAAACTTTGTGTCCAGCCTCCCACATGAAATGATCCTTTTAAAGGGAACTCGATATGTCTCAATCTGCACTTCACTCAAAGCCTCTGGGTACGGGCCACTCACTCACTGGTCCTGGCTCCAAAATAACTCAGCAGAAACGAGTTTCCAACTAAAAATCCCCTCGAATGTCTCCCAGGGAAGAAATATAGCTCCTATAATTAAAGGAGGCAACGGCCAGAGGGGGAGTGCAGCCGGCAGCCAAAAAAGAAAAGTAAGAGTTTTATTTATTTGCTGATTGAACTTGGGTTGTCATGACCAGCAGGTTTATCCACATTAGAAGTGCTGGAGGTTTGTACTATATGTGCACAGGAGGTAGAGGTGGGGAGAAAAGGAAGGAGAAGGAAAGTAGGAAGAATAACAGACCAGGCCAATTTTGAAGGAGAGAAAATGATCTCTGTGGGACAACGTAAATAAACTTCCTAGCACTGGATTTGACTAAAAACTTGTAGCTGAGGAATATGTGGAGAGGGGTTCAGAGGAGATGGGGGGTAATTATAGTAAACTCTTAGATGTGGGGTATCATCAGGAAAAGGAGGACTCTGTTTTCCCCAGAAAAGTAATGTGACAGCAGGAAATTTATTAGCTGTGCTGTGTGTGGCGGTTAGGTATGTGGGGGGTGGAATTATGGAGGGAGGCTCCAGAGAAAGGAAGAAGTTCCAGGACTCAAAGCAGAAGTGTCATGGAACCAGGAGCCCTCCACTCTCCTTGACAAAAGTTGCCTAGGAGGTGTAGATGTGAAATCTCTAGAAGACATTATCTTTGCACCTTATTAGTTTCATCTATTTGAGCTGATTCTGGCATTAGAACCACATATAAAATGAATCAGCGCACAGGATGAAGAACACCTCCCCACCTCTTGGGCCACCCTCCAAAAGGGGGTAGTAGTGATTATAAGCTTCAAAACACAAGGAGTACTCAGCCTGGGCAGCCCATTTCTATTAAAGAGGCAAAACTTTAGTACTGATGAAAAACAGATGATTTTTTTCTTCCTCTCTGAAACAGTTACTCTCTTTTACTGATGTGAAGTGACGTCAGCAATGCCTGCCCTATCCCCTTGGAGAGAGGGGAGAGAGGAGGAGGGTATGGAAGGAAGGAGCTGGGAGAAAGAGCAAGAGAAAAAGAGAAAGAGGAATTGACAGAAGAGGAAAAAGGGTGGTGGGGGGAGAGAATGAGAATGTATATCCTACACTTTGGGGGGCCAAAAATCCACAAAGAGTGGGCAAAACAATGCTTTAGAAGCCTGTGATTGATAAGACACCTTTCCTTGCTCTCACCCGATCTACATATTCTAACATATGGAAAGCTTAGAGGCCCTGTGCACTTATAGAAGCCGATAATGCATTAGCTCTCAGCAATATTTACAGCACCACTCTTAATACACACCAGATGGTTCGCGACTGTGCCGCCTCAGCCAGCTCACTCCTCGATTTTACTCGGCGGCACTTTGTTGCAATTACGCTCCATGCTGAGACCAATTTTATTGGTGACCTATTTTTCATATTTGCAGCATTTTATGTTAAAAACCTCCTCTCTGGCCTTTTTGTTAAGGGCAGCGCTCAGGAAGGGAGAGTTTAGGAGGACAGCGGTGCTGAGGGTCTGTCGAGGTGGATATTAATATTTATCGTGATGTTACATACCTTGGGTTTAAGTGAGTAAACCGGATAGACATAAGTACTCCGGTCATTATGTTTGTTCACTAACCCCTGTTTGTCAGACCCCCACGGACTCTACACGGCGCGCTTGCCTCAGAGTCAATACATCGGACCATAAATATTGTATTCCATTAATTATCACCCCACTGGCTTATCCTGGGCGCCGGCGTCCTCGAGCGACGCAGGGCAAATGAGGACGCTTCCTGAGCATATTTCTAGGCTGGGAACCCCGCTGAAATTTCCGCGGTGCCTGGGAATTCCTAGAGCCTGAGCGCCTGGCTCAACCCGGTCTGGGCCTGGGGCTGGCGTGCAGGGAAGGGGAGCTGGCGGGAGAAGGCCCGACGCCGCCAGGAGCACTCGGTACCAGTTATCTTGCTACGCAGAAGGCCACTGGGAGAATCCCATTTGGCACGCCGGAAAAGGCTTTCAACTTTATCTCCCGCCATGTAAATAACCCCGAGTGCCTGACTGAGGGACTTTGTTTTGCACCGAACAATATAAATATTCTATTTGCTACAACGCAGGTGTGCTCTTCCTACCTAAACTCTCCCCTCCCTGCCTCGCTTATGGTAACTCTTTCTACCCACCCCCTCCCCTGGTTAAAAAAAAATCACAGATGTTTACTTTATTGATATAACCTATACCGTGGTTAGGCTGAGAATAATACGCCTCAACTAACAGTCATTTAGCAAATAATAGAGGCGTT
The DNA here is from genome assembly GCF_000001405.40 of Homo sapiens. Lineage (NCBI taxonomy): Eukaryota > Metazoa > Chordata > Mammalia > Primates > Hominidae > Homo > Homo sapiens. Next base: position 93,602,988 of record NC_000005.10, read on the forward strand.
CTGGATGCTTTCCAACGTTACACATGTACTTGGTCATAAAATGATACGTGAAAAAATTAACATCTGCTTTCCTAAAATAAAGTGTGCCAAGTAGCTTTTTATGAATTCTTTCCTCATTTTAAAAAGAAATATGGAGAGACAAACTAGCACCCAGATGTATAGCACATTTATAATGGTTTTAGAATTTAAAGGTAGCTATTCATTGCACAAGCCATTTAAAAACTGACGTTTTAAAAGCTACTTAACCCCAGACATCTTCGAATCCTGAGGAGTCTTCCAAATTTTATTATTTAAAGAGGAATTTACTGTAATTTAATTGCGTATCAAGGCAGAACTATGTGCAAGTCGGGGCACTGCAGCCTCAGCTCAACAGAAATTCCATCTCGCCTTTTATTTACCTAATTTCTCAGCAAGGTTCCCAGGCCCTTAAGAAGGCCGAGCTGGAAAGTTTAGTTGGGCTCTTTTTTGTTGTTGTTTAATTCCACTATTAGGAAATGAGGCCTACCTTTGAATTATTTCATTATGATTTGGCCTTTTGGGGGAAGGGGTGGGAACTATAATCATTAGTGGCTTTTTATTATTTCTACAATAAATGGCTAGATTCTTTGTTGAATAAGCTGCTTGAATGTTTTGCAGATGTTCCACTTAGACCAAATCTGACCCCCTATTTCCTCCCAAATAAGTCGCTTAAACTCTCCCTCCAGTCCATTTACTGGAGAACATCCTCCCTCAACCTAGCAAGTTGATAAGCCTAGGACATATTCTTATGAAATTTCACCTAACTGCACATGCACGCACACACACACACACCACACACACATTTACACACACACTCCCACCCACTGAGCCTCTGAGCGTGGCAGAGGATAAGAGAAGAGAAAAAAAAAAGGCGAGGAACTGGTGAGGCGGAATGGAAAGGAGGAGGGAAGTCAGCCCAGTGGTTACACCCCTGTGCAGAGGCGCGCCCTCCACTGGCCCCCTTGCCCCACTTTGTGCCTTTGGTTTGAAACACTGGAGGTGGCCCAGGGCCGTTTTCCTCAAAGGACTGAGAATCTTGATTTGCCAAGTGCTTGGGGCCTCCGCCCAAGGTGTTTGGGGGCTGCGTGGTGAGCCGAGGCAAAGCCAGGGTACCCCGATCGTCTTCCGGGCGCATCCACCATGCGGCACCGCCCCAGCCACGGCGGCCGCGCGTGGAGACCCGGGGGCTTAACAAAGGGCTCCGCGGGGGCACGGGGGGGCGCGGCCACGTGACAGGCCCGAGCGCGACGTCGCTGTCCAGCCGCGGGGAGGGGCGGCCAGCCCGGGGGGCCGTGGGGCTTCTTGACATAGAACGTCCGGGCCTCGGGCTGGCCGCGCCGGGCCGCGCTCCGCCGGGATGAGAAGTACTTGTCTGGCTCCGCGCTGGAGAAGCCGCACCTCTCATCTCTCCGGCTCTTACTTGAAAAAGCACTTGGAAGAAACTGTGTGTGCGCTGGGAGGGCCGCGGGGTGGGCCGGGGCCGGCTGCGAGGCTGAGGGGGGCCGGCTGGTGGGTGGATGGGGAGGAGGTTGAAGAAACAGCCCCTTTCTGAGTGACAGGACCCCTTTTCAAAGGGCAAACAGAAAAAAAAAAGAAGAAGAAGAAGAAGAAGCTCCTAATATGAATAGGAGAATTTTCAATGTTTCGCAGTTACTCCACCTCCCCCCTTTTAAAGAGGGATATTTTTTCCTTTCCTTTTTTCCTATTTTTCTTTCTTTCCTTTCTGTCCTTACCCTCCCTTCCTTTCCTTCCTTCCCTCCCTCCCTCCCTCCCTCCGTTCCTTCCTTCCTTCCTTCTTTCCTTCCTTCCTTCCCTTTTCTTTCTTTCTCTCATTAGATTGGAATTGCGTGCACAAACGTGTTTTTATGTGTTTTCAGGAGAAAGAATGATTCATTAACTTTAAAAAATCTTCATGGGTTTGTCAGAATTATTGAAACATGTTATGGTGTTTTCGAGGACCCACTGACCAGAGTGGAAAGGCAACAGACGAGTCACGCTTTCAGACAGGGGGTTTTAAAGATGCTGGGTTTGTAGGGGCGAAAAAAGGGAATATCTTACGAAGTTCTCCCTCATTCCAATAACAAAACCTGTCACATCTTCACTTCTTACTAGAAAAGATAGTGTCCTCATTTCCTCATGTGAACAGCTCTAAAGTGATTACTGAATGTCTCTGTGAGAAATCAGGATGGGAGAGGAAAGCTCATCACATTCAGAGATTTTTTTTTAAGCCTGCCTTCATGTAATTTAACCTTAGAAACACTTTTATTATCCTCATTCTCAACCCCAGCTTTTTTTTTTTTAATTGGAGGGCCATGCCATATAGAGGAGAAAACCTTCTTTTAAAAAAGATTTAAACCCACAGTACCACTTGTTTGTTGTTGTTGTTGTTATCATGATTATGATGGTTATTATGTCGTCCCCTCCTTTTTGCACTTGATCTGATGAGAGAACTTTTTTTAAGAGTGTGAAATGAAGGACACAAAGACATATATCAATGAAAAGAAGAAAGTGGCCCTTTTAATGAGAACTAAAGAAAACCCAAATGTAGATGAAGTGTACCGTAAAAGCTGCTTCAAAGTCCATCTTAATTCCCTTGGGCTCAGTCATCACGAACGCGTGATAATTGGGAGTTCTGCACGGAGGTAAGGCCGCCATAGGGTGGGGAGTCCCGCAGATGCACCTCCCTGCCCTGTAATCCCAAATACATTTCAACCAAGAACTTGGAGATATTACAGAACCCAGATTTGGCTACTCCACCTTCAAACGCTACCTGCCCATTAAAGACATTTTGTTTTCTTCCAGAGCAACTGTGCTCACTAGGGGAGCATCATCCTCTGTCCCACCCCACCTCACCCCCCAGCAGGCTGATATAGGCTGGACAATATTGTAAGGTTTTGATCATTATTTTGTGATCAACTCTGTTTAATTTTCTATTTATTTTCGGACCTGAGCCTTTCTGGATCACAAAAGTCCCCACAAGTAACACAGCAATAAATCTGAACAAAAATAAGACAGATTTCCTTATCGATGTGTAATAAAGTTAAAGGACATTGTTTTGTCAGACAAGCGCTAAGTAGAAAATAAATCTCAGGGTCTGGGGAAACAAAACGGAGCGCTGCTGGCATGTGTGTAAATTTACTTTTAAAAGCAATAAATCAATGTTAAATTAAACAGCTGGGTACCCTGTCTAGGAGAAGGTTCCGTGTTTAAGAAGACCTTGATGGGAGAAATGTACTATTTAACAAGACACACACACACACACACACACACACACACACACACAAAGTTAAATTTTTATTGGCATCCGGAGGCAAGACTGCCCTGGGAACTTTTCTTCTGAACTTCAGAGAGGGAGAGGGAAATAAGAGAGAGCATGAATTGTGTCTACTGTCCATCCTCAGATCTTTACACATATTTTCAGGCATAAGGAGAAAAGGAGGTTTTGTAGAAATGTATTAGATGTGTTCTAAATTGTGGGTTAAACTATGAAGTCTCTCTTTATTGGCTTAGGTTTGTTGGGTGGGTTGTGATTTTTCTGAGATTTTTTTTTCCTGTAAGTTCTATGACCTGTGAGTGTGTTAAGCATACTCTTATCTCATGCTTCCTTTATTCTTAATGTGGTTGTTTTGCACAGCAAATAGCACAGTAGAAAAATCAAGAGGACTGTTATTTCATATCTATTGTGCTTGTGTTCATTAAGTAGCAAACCTGAGATTGGAGTAGCATTTGATATTCAACAGGAATATTTTAATATTTCATTTTCTAATTTTTTTGTTTTTGTTTTTGTTGTTATTTTACAAAACTTCACTTCACTGGGAAAAAAATTGTGTGTGGGACATGGAGATGAGGAGAGAACAATAGAAAAGCCTAGCTCTGGCTCTGTATTCTAAGAACAATGTGAATCAATGAGCTACTATAGAGGCAATATTCAATAGCAGGAAATTAAGAGTAGTTTAAGACTAGCATGTATATACACTGGATTATTTTCCAGCCTTAAAATGAAATTCCAGAAAGACTCTTTAGAAAGCACACATATTATTGAGATGAACTCTCTCAGTCTTTTGAATTCAGATGGACTGGTTTAAAAGAAAAATATGCGGTACCTGCCTCTACAGAAACCAGCAGATTATTCTTTACTTTCTTCACATTGAAATCCCAGAAGCTTTATTTTGTAGTTACATTGTTAGCCCAGTTCCAAAGAATATTCATATAATTAGGTAACATTATTCAAACTTTAAAATTATTTTTAAAAAGTGTTTCAACCCCACCCCCACCCCCTTCAAGCTACACACTAACAGGGTAGTTTTCTAGCTTTCTAGCTACCTTTGACTTTTCTTCAGCCAAAGAAAATATCAAAGACCCAGTTGCCTGGAGAAGAATAAAGTTACAGCATTTATATTTAGGAGGCAGCATTCCATTTCCATGACCATCAGTGGCTTGTTAAGTAAATATGTGTCTTATGCCACTCGGAGAGAGCTCAGATCGCCTGTCAGGAGGCGTCTGGGCAGCCTTGTAAACTCAGAGTGACTTCTCATATCGTGCTATGTTTTCCCAGCGATGCGCTTTCCTCTGCGCTGAAGCCCTGGGAATCATTTCAGCCCAAGGTGAGCCTTTCAGGCACTGCTCTTTGTCCCCATTTGGATAAGAAGGTGCAAAACTAGTTAGACACTAGGCTGATTTTGGGGAGGTGGTAGGAGGGGATGGAGAAGCGGCCTGTTCTAATTAAAGACAATAAGCAATCCTGCGAGGAGCTGTCCTTTAGCCTTGGCTGGAGGCAGAAACGGTCTGTCTCACCTCAGTTGTTAGGTTTATTTGAGCTGGTCGGTGAGGCGAAGAGCAGAAACTTGCAGGTAGCTCTGGGCTCAGGTGAGACTGGGTGGATGGTTAAATCACAGCAAGTGATCTCGAAGTCCCCCTTTACCTCCCCATCCCCTGTCCTTCTGTGCTCTGTGCTTGACTCAGGCATACTTTGATTCTAACTTTGCTTGCTAGATGGCGCTCGGTGTCTCAGGACTTTCTGTTTCAGAATTAAAGCGGCTTTTTAGCACCGTTGTTCTGAACTATTTGTGGGCATTTGATCAGTACAGTGCTGGTAATGTTATTATTGCCCTTGTTTTCGTCACACTTTTTCTCTTTTTGATTAAGGTATCGTCCAGGTGGGAGCTGCCCATCTTAATCCATATAATAATGAAATTCAGGGAAACTCTGCACCTAAATTTAGGGCACATGTGTGGTTCAATTACCTGTTCTGGTGCACTTAAAAAGGCACCTTAGTAACTTTCCTCCAAGAATGTGATTGAGGTTTTCAAGAGGACAACTCAGCAGGTCCAGATGGTGATTTACAATCGTCGAGGTTTCCCACTAGAGTCCACCACCCTCTCCCACCACTACTCCCCATTCTCACTCGAAGATGAATCAGGCTGATGTGGGGAACTTATTACTTTCATTTGTCATTATGAGATAGCATTAATTGATTGAAAAAGTATTATGATTTCTTTATAGCCCAAGTACTAAAAATTTATGTCTACAAAGAGATATATTTTAATATTAGTAATGAAAGTCACTACACAGCTTGTTTCACAAGAAGAATGATTTGTGGATTCTAATGTATATTTATTTCAATCACTAAATGATTCTTCTCAGATATTCAAAACACTTTTGGAGGGATTCCTTTGTGTTGAAGCACGAAGAGAGAAAATCAGTAGTTCTAAATTTCTGGTGGAAAAAATTAAGATAAGCCAAAAAGACCTGAATATTGTTTTGTCGAATGAAGATGTCATTTTCACAGCACCCACTGCTCTCATACCATTGTCTGTTTTTTAAAGAAAGGATTGCTGGTGAGGAAGGCAACGGTTGCAAATTAAAAATATCTCTTTATAACTTTAAACACTTTGACATGGGAGAGTTTAACTTGTTACTTGCTTTTAGGATTTGGAAACTAATTTGTATAGAAATGTTCTACCTTTGGGGGAAATTAACAACACACAGAGCTCGGTGGTTTGGAAACCTTTTGTCAAACCTTGGCTGCTTTGGTGAAGAACCCCGCAAAGACTCTCTCTAGGTGTTAGGCTGAAACTAGCAGGCGCTGAAAACCTAAAGCAGAAAATTTACAACTTGATCAGCCCCAGCCACACACCAAAAAACCTGCTACTGGTGCAAACATATGTTACAGATTAAGTTAAGCAAATGGCTCTCATTTTTTCAGGGTTGAAAGTTGATCATGAAAATTCAAATTTGAGTGCATTGTGCTTCTAATAGATCACTAGATCCTCAGATGCTTACAAATCCTCCCCAACCATTTACTCAAGAAATTTCATATATTTTATCACCTTCTTGAGATCCTAGCTTAGAATCTCATGCAAATTGACTCTAGTCGGGTATTATTTTCCAGGAACACATGTAGTTTTAAAAGTTGGCTAAGTTGAAAACTGGCTGTATTCTTCCTTCTAATGTTAAACTGCTAAATAGCTGAAGTGTAACTCAGTTGTTCTAATGCTTTCTCTGTTTCCTCGTATACCTACTAACTTTTAAAAGCAGAAATTAAACTGCAGAATTTATTTTAAAGTTTCATTTGCTGGAGAAGTAAGTGATTTTTTTCACAGCATGAGGCAAAATAAAGGAGTGTTACCAAAGCCTTTAATTATGTCAGGAAAGACTGAAATCATGGTATTTCTTTTAATGGGGATAACTATCTTTTGCAACCTCTCTGTGGTCATCCAGCCACCTCCCAATTAAATTATTTGAAGACCAGCGTGGCTACTAAAATGCCTGGTAAAGAAGTTTAGAATTAACTCCCCACTCTCCAAGGTAACTCCCTTGCAAGTTGCAGAGGATGGAGCCAGGCATCCGACACCTGGGGTCCCTTCTTCCGTAATCGCGGGAGTTTGAAATCATCCCCCTTTACCTCTCCACATTCGAATGATCATCCTGCAGATTTTAACCGATATTGTCATGTTGAAGTTTGGTGGTTATTGTTTACATCTCTCCTTTCCCCAAGGGGTCTTGGTAAACGTTTAAGAGATTATTGATTTCCAAGAAACCAAATAAAGAAGGCTGTTCTTTTATAACATATGAAATACACACTTTTCTTTAACTAAATAGGCAGTGTATACTTGACATTGACAAATGGGCAAGAGACAAGGAAACTTATTTTAAAAGACTTTGAAGGGGAAAAAAATGGATACAACAGCAGCAATCCTATGGAATAGTAGGGTTTTAATTGAAACAAACGCTGGATAATAAGGAAAAAAATAGTAATCTATGCTGTAAAATGGTTTAGAGTTTTCACCGAACACACACAGATGGCGAACAAACATCACTGAAGATGCTCCTCTCAGGGGGACCTGATCAGTATCCTCAATGTTCTGATTTATTATAAAGAAAATGAGTTTCCCATGCTTCTTTTCTTCACAGTTTTCTCTGGCAAAAGTGGTTCTGAAATTTCTACTCAGGTCTGGGAGTTTCTGACGTACTTACAATAATCCAGAAAAGTCATTCTGAAACTGGATTAGGAGCATACTTTTTTAAAAAAAGTAAGAAATTCTTGATTAATGAAATGCAGATCTTAACTACCCCTTTCCTCCAAGTCATAAAGGAAATCCCTTGTGAAAGAAAGCGATTCCCAAAACCCAGACTGAGAGAGTAAACCTTAGGCACCCAGAAGTTCAATAAGCGCTGTCCCTTCCACCCCAAATCTCCACAACTCCCCTAGCCCCGACAGAGGAAAACCTCACGTCCTTCTCTGCACCTGATTCCCTTTGCTTGCTCCTGAACTCCGGAAGGCTAGAACGAATTTATCCAAAGATGGAAGAAAGCTCAGCACCTGGAAGCTCCCCCAAAGGGTACTGGCCAAAGATATGCAAACATTATGTAGATATTTCAGTTGCGGGTTTAGATAGTGGGAGATGGATCCTAGTCTAGAATATTCGAGTCTTCAAGTCACTATTATTCAACAGGTCTTCGCTATGCTGCACACTTCAGATGCCAAACTGCATTAGCTAACGTGAGTTGTCCCCCGTTTTCGTAGGAGGGTCGTGTTGCTAGTTTAGTTTCCGGCATGGCCGAGTTTCTCTAGTAGCATGGATTTACCTTAGTATTTGGGCAAAATGACTCTTGAGATGGAAAAAATGACCAAACTACGGGAAAAAAATAATCTTTGAGGAGAATTCAGCAGTGACTTTGCAGACTAAGAAAAGACAAAAAGTTTGTGCAAGCAGTGCTATGAGAAAGCAGTGTGTTGATGATGGCTGTTTCGAGAAAACAAACTAAATTGTTAACCCGTGAAGGAGTTAATAAAATATTTGTATGTCTTATGGGACATAAAAATAAAGTGTTTTGAAGCTAAACTTTTGCTTTAGTTTACTGAAAATTTTCCTTGCAATACTATGGCAAATAGATAATAATTTATCCTGAAATGTATTGTAGTTCATGTTACTATACAGAAGCAGTTTTCAAATAAATTTATTGAGGGCATTTTATAGGCAAGAAACCCATTAACTTAAGATATTAGTGTTCTCTCCCTTTTCACTTATTCCTGACTCTTTCTAGCAAAGTTTGGATCAAGTTGGTTTGAAATTATTTTAGTACAATTGATATTTAATAGAAATTTGGTTTTGACCGTTTCACCTACTCTAAACCTAGTATTTTCGTCCCCAACAACGGTTCAAAAGAGTGGGTGACCAGAATGGGGTCCTGGTGGGAGGGAAGAGATTTCACTCAAAACCCAGCAAGTGAGAAGAGTTTCAATACAGCAAGGTGCAATTTGAAATTTACAAAAAACTAATCTTGTCTTAGGAGTGGCAACTTAAGTGTTGCTAGGGAGACCACGCAATGAAAAAGATACCACAGGGAAGTGATCTTCCTTTATTGTACTTTGCTTAACGCGACGGCAAAAAGAAGAGAGCCAAACAGGGAGAGGTGCCGAAAAGCACAGCTTGGACTTAAGGTCTGCAAGCAGGAGAAGAGGTGATGGGTATTGAGCCAGACGCGTCCCCTTTTTGGTGCTGTCAAGTAAGTTGCCGTCAGGCTCTTTAGCGCGCGGCGGGCCGGGCGCCCGCAGCGGAGCCGCCTCTCTCCGGGAGGTAATTAACCAGTGCCTGGGCGCACCCGAGCCAGTCCGACAGCTCCAGCCACTGGCAGAGCCGTGGGACCAAGGGCCGGACGGGTATGGACTTAGATCTTCTGGAATGCAGATCTCTCCAGACAGATTCAGAGCCCGGGAAGAATGTGCTCCCAGTACAGACCTCTTAAAGTGCAGTCATGTACAGCTTCTGCCAGCTATGGGTGGTGGTGAAAAGTTGGCCACAGAAAAGTCGGGGGTAAGGGGAAAGGGGAGGGAAGATCCCTGCCATAGAAATGACAAGAGTGGCGCTGCTTTCAGCTTAGACTAGATGCAAATTCAAGGAGACTCTCAGGCAAATGTTGTGTAAACTCTGGGCGCTGTAACACCGGCTTGGAGCAAGCAAGACTCTCCACCCACAAACTGCATATTCTTTAAAGTCACTGTCGCTTTAGGCTCAGATCTTAAGATTTCGGGAGCCAGTTTTCTGTGGCGGGGGAGTGGTCGGAGAGAGGAATCAGGCGAGGGCCAGAACGTTGGGGTTCTGGCCAAGGAAGGGGAGAGGGAAGGGGGCGGGTTGGGGGGGAGTGGGGGGGGGGTGGGGCGCGCGCGCTGGGCGCTGTCCATGGTGCTGGGGAGAGCGCGGCTTCATTTCGCTTTGCTGTCCCCAAACCAAGCTCAAGTGTATAAAAGGGAAACGGACACCAACAACTCGTGCGGCTAGATTTTTTTTTCCTCCCTGCGAATGTAGAAAATACAAATGTGGCTGTAAAATTTAAATAGTACTTTATGGGGGTTCTATTCCATATTTCACAGTCATTACTGCTTAGACAGCAGTGTTAACTGGTAGCTTCTTCTTTAAAGTGTTCCATTTTTCAAAGTAGTGTAATCAGCAATTCTTGATGTACAAAGTAAAGAGTAAGGAGGAAATAAAAAGGATGATTTGAGACTTGATTTGAAACTCTAAACATATCCAGGGGCAATTAGCTATTTCCAGATTTGATGGAAAATAAAAGCACAGCATGACTTAACCTGCTAGATAACATGAGTTTACTGAGGCAGTATTAAATATATATAGATTCAATTTCACTTAAATAATTCTCTAAACTCCATACCTGCCAAAAGCTATAGTTATATTTTTGTCAGCAAGAATAAAAGGAGCAACTTGCTATTGTAGTGTGTGTGTGTATAAATTAGAAATGGTTAAGATTTCATTCTAAGTTATAAAATGGTACTCTAATAACTGCATTTTTTAAAAAAACAAATTTTATTTTTAAAAATACAGGTGATCAGAAATAAAGTAGAATACAGTTAAAATTATTTCAAGATTAGGCTAAATAGAAACATAACCTAGGAACTGAATCACACTCTTGTAACACACATGTACAGACATATCACCTGCCAAAATTTCAGGTAGACTATTAAACTACGTTTGGTTCAACCAGAAATGTGCAAAACAGGAAAGTAATTGAATTTGTTTTAATCAAGAAAATCTTACTTAGCCTCCGCAACTGGAATCCATGTGACAATGAAGAAGGAAAGGGACATGAATTCAAACAGCTGACACAATGATCAGCAGCAACTGACAGCATCTCATTTGATATTTGATATAAAGCACTAGATCAATATTTGTGAGATCAATGCAATTTTAATGGTTTTTTTCAAGCCGGTATGAAAGCCAAATTGTGACACTCTGTGCTAGGGTTATTTTTAGAGGTGGTTACTCCAGGGGATGATATTAAGTAATTTACTGATGCAAAGCAAAAGCAAAAATGGGGAGGGGGGAGGGGAGGAACCAACAAAACCACCACAACAAACCATCAATATTTCTTCAGTTGATAAATCCTGATTATCCAAGTACCCAGAGAAGGTGTGAACATTTATTGGAAAAAAGCCATTTATTTAATTATGGCTAAAAAAAGAAGAAAATAAACCTTTGAAAAATTATTTGGAGGTACATGAAGATGAACTGGATCAGAGGCACCTTTTTCAGACACAATGGGATATGGTGACATGTGAGCAAAAAGAAATGAAAATGATAAAAAGAGAAAACCTAGGCCTTATAGCCACAGGGTCAATCCCCTCATGTGTGGAATTCAGTGGGAAATAACAAATTTTTCTGCATCTTTGGCAGAGTGGAAAACTGAGAGCCCTATCTGACACTCTAAGCAATGTTCCCACAGAGGTCATATAAAGCAAAAATAATTAATAGGCCTAAATATTGTGTATTGTTTTCCTTAGAAGGATTTATACCATCTAAAAAATAGAATGTATTTAATCTAACTCAAAGACACATAGTTCCTAACCCTAACCTTATATTTTGACTCATTTGCTTACAAATTCATTTTGATAAAAATGCTAAACTTGGATTTATTTGTTTTTACAGATTCAATTTTGAGGAATTTTCACCTAGAGGAATCCAAGATCTTCAGTCCAAACAGCAATTTCTGGGGAGGTAGATGATGGGGGGAGGGGTAGCAGAGGGGTTATAATTAGCTGAACATTTCAGTAAGAACAGTAACAAACATGAGATGTGGTGGTCCTGGGCAGTGTTCCGTGACAAGCAGAGGTTTACATTTTTTAGGTTCAAGAGCAGGTAAATGTTTCGTTTCGAGTTCAACTTTAGTTAAAAACTTGGGAGAATTGGTTTCTTTTTCACTTGAAAGAATAAGAACATTTTAGGAAATTTCTGATGCCTGACCTAAAGACCTCTCATCTTTCTTCAGATGGAGAATAAAACACTTCAAAACTGCAATTCTTGAAAAATTTTTCCCTTAAATGTTTCTTTTTTCCTGATGTTTTTGTTGATGACAGTAAATTGCCTGATAAGAAACTGACAGCTCACTTCAAACAAAAAGCACTGTATTACATGCTCTGAAATGAAATTCCTATCTAACTCCTTTTGTAGAATTAAATCATGCACCTAGTATATTCCTTAATAATCTAGGTAAAGGCATATTTTCCAGGATTTCAATAACTCCATAAAAAGTCTCTCTCTGCATGTGTCTTTATCCCTTATAGTATTTCAAATTTGGCAGATTGCCTACAAACTAAAGATACCAACAATTTAAATAAAATTTTCTTTAATGAAATAAAGCCAACCTTACACACAAATGCACATTACAGAGAGATAATTTACAGGTTCAATGAACTTGAAGCATAAAATATTTATTACAATGCCTTGCAGAATTGAAGATGAAAAATTTATTTAACAAGTTTACAAACATTCATGGTAACCAACATATACACAACACCTACTATACCATAGGCATCGAAAAGACAGACATATTGTATATGTTGTCTGTGTATTTCAGGTGAAATGGACAGGAATGGGCACATGTACCTCATGGATGAATATGTGTGTATGAGACATATGTATTTTTTTTCAATTAGGTAGGTCTTTTTTAAAATCTTGAGTTATTCTAAAGAAGAAAATGAACTTTATACTCAATTGTAGTTAATCGAACTTCATTTTGGCTAATCATAATTTGACCAGTGATTTTTTTTCCCTCAAATCATGAAGGACAGTGCTCAGAATTTAATAGTGCACCCAAAATGCTGCTCTTCTTAAGCCACTTTGAAGTAATGCTAGTGAGTCTACGATCCAGATCTACATGTTAATCTGTAGTTTTGCCTTCAAACAGAATTCAGTTACAAAGAACTTGGAAAGATTTTGAATCTATTCAGGAGAGAAAACTCTTTAATTTTCTGAGGAGTAAAAACTCCCCAAGAAACTTCATATAGCTTCTTAGATTTTGCTTAGCATACGTGATAAAACATTGATTGTTGCAGTTTGGTGACCCATGAAATTTGGGGGTTAGTTTTCTCTTCAGACCAGAGCATATAATTATGCAAATAAAGAGCTGTCACTGATCTAGTGAAATACTCACAAACACATGCACTCTGAAATTGGACAGAAAAGTGAAAATGGTTGGTGATGTGATGGTGCCATGGTTTGTTTTCCTGCCAAGTTTCTATCCAAATTCATTATTCAAATTGTAAACTTTAAAAGGAGATATATCATTCTTGGGGTGTTGGTTGTCTTTTCATTTCAGATTCTTTGTATTGGTATTGCAGGCTGGCCACAAAGTACAGTTCAACATTATTTTACCCATGACAGTTCTCCATATTACCCGAGGTAATAGCCAAGGAAGAAAAAGATGAATGATCTAAAAGGAAAGATGTAGGACTTCTCTAGATTTCTTTCTAGAAACATGCTTCATGTCTGTTTCAAACAGAACTCAACTCCAACAATATAAAGGATATAGTGAAAGGTTTTTCACAAATCTCAAGGCGAAGGACTGGGAAAAGTTGCTTAGAAGGCCTCATGGACTAAGTCAAATTTCCACTTTCAAGCTTTTTATATTCCAGGGGAAAATAGTGGTCACTGTGTGGTATCCACTTCATGGTCAAACTTTCAGGATGACTTTCTCCCATCTAGCAATTAAAGCCAACTATTTAATATTTGGTGATTTTAACCTTTGTGGTTCATTTTACAGTTATTACTTCTCTAAAACCTTTGTGCTGGGAATTAACAAGAGTTCTTCAATCTAATCACGCTCTTTGGCATCAAGGTCTCCCAATTCTAAAGTTACCATTGCATAGGCTGTTGCATAATTTTAGACGTCATGGAGAGTCCCACTGATGAAATCTGAGAAGGCTCATGTCAGACCACTGACTGCTAAAGACATCACTACATGAAAGATCAGTAGTGTGAAACTTTAAAAACATCGATCCAAATGAATCAATTAAATCAACATTCATCCCTCTTAAGTGTGTGGTTTAAAACTATCATTGTTGCTTTTTTAAAAAAACCTTACATAGATTTTGAGATAAATGCTGGAATGCTTTGATGGCTACTTCTATTCTCGAATCTCCGTTAATCGACTTTGTGCTATTCCCCTCTTTTCAACATCTTCCACTTGGTGTACATTCTTTACTTTTAGTACAGTGCATGACAGTTGCAATGCTTTAAATCTAAAACCGCCTAACAAAGCTGACGCTTTAGGTAGGGTAGCTTTAAGCTCTGTGAAGTGTTGATTAAAAACCCTTTCCCAGACTCAAACTGATCTTTTTGGAGATTAATAGAATATTAGATAAAAGGAAGACGAACAATTCAAGAGACTCCCACTCAGTCATTCTATATAAGGAAGGAAGGAAAGTATTCAATTTTTGAAAGGGAGTACCTCCTGGAGTCTTTTATTTTATATTATTATGGCCACTAATAAGTAATAATAAAATAACCACCACCATCATCCCCCTTTTTGCCACCCATATTTCAAAGATGAGAGTGTCTCACATTTAAAGACATTTTTTTTTCTCCACAGAGGCATGTGGAAAGTTTTTGAGAAATTTTTACACTTTCTGTAGTAGTACTCTTTCTTAAATGAATTAGGATTACAGACACCAACAGGAACCTGTCAGTTTACAGTAAAAAATATGATTATAACAAGAGACACACGTGTTTGGATTGAACCGCAGATAATCCAGAGAAACAAACAAAATCTAACTTATTAGCACGGATAATACAGTTAGCATATCTCTAAAAGGGGCTAAAGGTTTTAAGAAAGCTGTAAAAGAAATGTAAGTTATTTTCAGATCGAACACAGTACATCAAGAACCTATATACATGTACTTGGAGGCAACTTAAACTCACCAGACTCCTCTTGGAAAACACATTTATTTATGGCATATTCAAGTGTATTTTATAAAACAACAATTTAATTGATAGGTTGTTCAGATTTCCTTGCTAAGGAGATATTTTAGATATTAAAAACAACTGTCTTAGAAATGTTAGCTTTGTAAAAGGTGCAAGCCAAATAGTGACTCAACTAAAGTTAGGATATTACCTTACAGCAATACTAACAGAAATAAAAAGTAGCCAGAAGGTTTAAAATATTGACGGATGCTGTCTCATCCTTCCTTTTATGTTTTTGCTTTAAAAAATCTCTATGCAATTGGTGAATAAGCAAGAATTCTTCTGAGCAAGAATAATAACACCGCTGTTGTTGGGAAAATTGTTTTTATTTTAAAATGGAAATGGAAATATAATATACAGGAAAAGCTTGTGCTTTCCTTTTTTTTTTTTACTTCGCATAAACAATAATAATGCAATCCAGGTCAAAGCACGAGGCAGAAACTCGAGAAAAGAACAGTTATTAAAGGTACATGGTCTTCTTTTCAAATATCCATGAAAACATTTAACGACGGGATGGCTAGTACCTATAGAAAGCTCCAAAGCAATAATCTGGCCTTTAAGTTTCGACGGGACTATTTTGAATCTTAGATTTATCAGTCACTCCTTTCCCATTCTACTTGTTCTAAGAATTAAGTATATAATTAAAATAAAAAGGCCACATCCTGACTTTAAATCTCCACTCTCCTAAAAACCTGTTTGAGGAAACAAAAATGGGGAAGAAGATCAGAACAAAAATATTGTTAACACTGGCCGTCCTCATGCAGGTGGGCTACTACCAACGCTGGTTGTTACTCCAGGAAAATCGAGGTGAACATTATTACATTTATATCAACAAACCCATAATCAACAGGTTAAAAAATCCTACATTACAAAGAATCTGATCACTTATCAGTTGGTGGTCTGGAATAGTTTGCCTAGCTCCCTCTGGGCTGCTACAGCTCAGATTCACAAGTAGAAATTACATTTACACAACTTAAGTTTGCAAATAGCTCTCCATAAATAGTTAAACCAGGCCTAACCATCCAGTAGTTTTAAAGTATTAGAGGCAATTAAATAGTGATTTATTCTAGCTATAAGTAAAGGTTTAAAAAGAGGAGAGATGATTTCAGAGAAGGAATAGCAGTGATTTGGTTTATAAACAGCATATTTATTGTGCTCTAATTCAGGTGCAGAAGCTTCGCCAATTTAGCATTGCACAAGTGTTGGTTTTTTATAAATGCTATAAAATTGTTTCCTGTCAACATTTTCTTATACTGAAAACACAACACAATTTATAATACCTTGAAAAATATATTCAATTCACATCAATTCTTGAATCTCTCACTGGAAGGAATGTTTGTCCCTCAACTAAGATTCCGGAACACTGCTGAAGATACCATTATTTTACACAGTTCACCACTACTTCTAAAATAGTAATGATTGGATAAAAAGGGTCAATATCACAGACAAATGTGCTTGATGTTGTTGGGGTTTACTCATTTTAAGCCATCTGGTAGCTGAATAAAATGCCATTTTGATTTTTCCTCCTATATAGTTGATTTTGCTTAAGTAACACGAAAATATATGCATACCTGAGCACTGAAAAAACATCTTTAATTTGTCATCATTAAGACTATAGAACCAATGAATGTACTTGTATGTCAAACACAGCAATGAGATATTAACAGCTTTAAAACTTGTTGAAATCGGTTCATAATATAAAAACATTTAAGCACGAAGTGGTTGATTTTAAGTTACTTTTCTGAGGCATTAGACAGTTCGAAGTCATTTTGGGTACATTTTATCATGTCCTCAAATAAGGCAGGCATATTAATTGTTGCACACACTTTAAAAAAGGATGAAAACTATTAAATTTATGTTCTCATCTATTAGAAACAATCTTTACTAGGTAATTAAACTTTTCAAGTAATTAAAATATAATGTGAAATTTTAAGATTTTAATCTAAAAGTCAGCAAAACCTTAACATCTCCTGTATTTCACAGTGTTGGCCACATCTTAGCTGGATTAAAATAATTGTTCAAACTGTAGGGCTAAACCCTACAGAGGAAGCGGAGTGCTAAAAATTATACCATTGGACTGAGAGAAGAAATTCTTTCACACCAAGTCCTTCTCTTCTTGTTAAAGCAGAAAACTAAAAGGATAATTTTAGCCCCACTTAGCCTTTCAGAAGAAAAAGGCTGCAGAGCACAAAGGTTTCGTTTCCTGATGACAATAAAAAAATTCTCTCCCTAGAAGGGCCTAACTCCAGGAAAGCTCAGAATAGATCATTCTGGAAAGGATTAACAACAACCTTTCTCCACAGAGAGATTTAAAAAGCAAAACTTAAGTGTGTTATATCTAAATTACAATGCCACACAGTACACATTATGTGTTTAAAAAGTAAAGTCAATCCCAGTGATAACAGTTGGAAATTCCATTGAAAATGGGACCTTCACACCTACACTTAAAAGAGCTGCCCATCATTGTTTTGGTTTTAACAGTCTCTTCTGAAATCAGAGACTTGTGTAAACTCTCACAATTAGCTGGCAAAAGGATTTTCAGCAGTAATGCGGATTCAGTACTTTATAGATTTTTATGCAGAGTTGTTTTTTTTTCTGGTCCCGAAATGAAAACAGGGAGAGAACAATTTGCATTCCCCAAACTACATGGTACATCATG
Source organism: Homo sapiens (assembly GCF_000001405.40). Classification (NCBI taxonomy): domain Eukaryota; kingdom Metazoa; phylum Chordata; class Mammalia; order Primates; family Hominidae; genus Homo; species Homo sapiens. The sequence goes on from NC_000005.10 coordinate 93,620,421, forward strand.
GCATTCAGGTTCTGAATTTGAAATCGGCTTTGGAGTGTGTGTGGAACTTCCTTAAAAAAAAAAAAAAAGAGGTGGGTAATAAGATGCCCTCAGGGAAAAACCTAGTGAAAATGGAAATCTGAAGTCTGGAATAGAAGTTTGCTCCAGTTGAGAGCGGGGAAAGATGGACATGATTAAGGAGGGGGAAGCAGCAGCGGCTCCGCTACGGCGGGCGCTAGGACCGCGCCGACGCCGCCGGACCCGCAGCGCCCGCGCGGTCTCCTTCAGGGCAATTAGAGCTTCGCCGGCCGAGCCAGGCAGGGCGCTGTCAGCCTTAATGTGAGCGCTGACTGGCAGCGCTCAGCCCGCGCTCAGCCCGCAGGAAGCACGACCAGTGAACCCATATTGCTTTGACAGTTGCACTCATCTAGAAATAATGCAAAACGCTATTTAGATGTATATATCACGACCCTGGGCTCTGGGAAGAAAACAATCTAATGAGGGGCTGGGAGTCCGCTCGACACAAGCAGTGAGGAGGCGTGCGGGTGGGTGCGCCAGGGCGGCCTCCCCCGTCGCGCTCGCTCCTCTTACAGCTCTTCGTGCTTGATGCGGTGGGAGCGGCGCGTCACAGCCGGCTTCAGGGAGCTGGTCTTGGCCTCTGAGGCTTCGGTAAAGAATTTGAAAATAGACGGAAAGCTCTTCCAGGAAGTTAGCTCGTGACGGTCGGTGCCTGCAAAGAACAACACATTCGGTTACCAGGTGGCCACGCGGGGCCAGGCGCGGTGAGGGCGGCGAGGGCCAGGCCGAGCCCCGGCTCCCGACCACCCGGTCCCGCCCCTCCCCGCCCCTCCCGCCTGCGCCCCGCCTCAGCCGCCCGCGCCCCGCCCCTCAGCCAGGACCCCCGCCCCCTCGCGGGCGCGGGCCAGCCGACTCCCAGGGCACAACTAGGGCTGCGGGGTCACTTGCCCCCTGGCTCAGAGGAACTCAGACTTCGCTATCCGCGGCGTCTAGGCGTCTCCGGCCTCAGTCCCCATCCCTCTCCCAACGCGGGGACGCGGCCCGGATCTGTCCCGGGGTCGTCCGAGGCGCGGCTGGCCGCCCGAGGCCTCCGCCTCTCCGGGCCAATGGAAGCGCTGGGCGGGAAGGGCCACTCCCTCTCCCTCCGGGAAACCACCCACTCCCGAGACTCGGCGCGCGCGGGGATTGGTTTCCCCTGCGTGCGGGATCGCACAGCGCCTGTTTCCTTGCTTCCCAAGGGGGTGGTGTGGAGGGGAAGGGGGAATGATTTTTCTTGCGTCTCCCGGAAGCTGTGCTGTTAGACACAATTACCTCAGCTAGGTCACTGAGACCAAATCATACGGGACGCTTAATGAAGGACCGCATTCAAAAGGGATTACGCCTTGAAGTGTCCTGGCGGGCGACATTTTTACAGATTTTAAGGGGCAAATTTAGAACAGCTAAAAAAAAGGTTTCAAAGCCGTGACTACTAAAAGAGCATCTAGGCCTCCCATTTTATCAGGAGGAATTCAACTTAGAAAATGCAGGTTAGTTGTCAATTTATGGGGTTACTTTATTTTACTACGGCTTCTCTCTGTGGTTTCGATGTAATACTAATGTACAGCATGTTTTCAAATCAAATCGACCTTCAGTTTAACACAGGCAGCGGATAACACGGATGCAAGCATAAGAACAGATGAGGAAATACATTTAGCTATTTTTGACTCCCTGTGATGGCTTATGTAGCATTTTACCAGTGGCTTCATAAATGAGCACTTTTTAAAATTAAAAATTAAAATAATTACAGACTTCCACAGAAATAATGAGTGAATAGCTTTTAAACAGTTGAAATCTCTTCCTAGATCACTCAATTATGCAGAGAGATACCGCTTGGAAGTCTCCGGATTCAGGGCCTCAGTCTGATACTTTAACATTGTTAATGATAATTCTTTAGTCTGTAATAGTAGGTCATTGCTATGGTTACTCTACAATGGTGCAACACTTTGCTTTCCCCTTCAGCTATTCGCTGAGACCTGGTAACCACATTTGTTGCCTAGCAACAGTTTTGTGACAGTATCACAATCTAGGAGTTACAACAATAAGGATGCTATGGCTGCTGTCGGCCAGAGAGCAGAAAGCTACAGTCTGTGCCTGACTTAGCTGTGGGAGCTGGCCCTACTAGAGAACCCCTCTCTCTTTATCAGTGCCCTCCCAAGGATTCTCTCTATCCTCCTTTCCTCTGCAGACTGGCCTCATGAACTTGAATTTGAAACTAAGACCCAGTATTAAAGTCATATCCCCCAACTCAGACTAAAAATGAGGTCATTTTATTTGCTTACTCATTTTGGGCAAAATTCATTGTTACTCAATAGGAAGGAGGGATGAGTGTAGGTTTATCTTGTTAAATCCTAAAGTGCTAGGTGGATTTTGACAATTCTTCATAGAATTCTTGGGGGAAAATTATATATATATGCCTGCTTGCATCAATAGGTGTTATAATACATAACATCTAGATATTATTATATTTTTACTGATTTATTCAAATGACAATCTTAAAGGATTCTTTTGAATTTGGAGGCATTTATATTTTCCAAACCTAACTGAGCAGTTCTACATATGCTCAGACATACCTGCTTTAAATGATATTTGCGGGTAGATCTAGGAGGACCAGTTTCTGGATAGGGTTATCAAATGTGTGTCTCTATTCTATAGTGTTTGCAACCCTAGTTTCACTTCAGTAATAACTACACAGTTGCACTTATAATGGTAGGACATTTTAAAATCAATTGTAATTCATTTTGAAAGACCATTCTCAGATGCATACTACGTGGCAACACCCACCCCCAAATACAATAAGCCAAAAAAAAAAAAAAAGGTGTTAATTGTCTCTTTTCGTAACCATTTCCCAAGCTTACAGCCACATTTGGCATTTCCTCCATAGTGATCACACTTACACCTACTAGTGTTACTAAGGCTATGATCAATTTGTAAGCTTTCTCAGGGAATTCCCCTCATAATTCCTCCCACCCCTTGAAACCAATTCAATCTATGAATCTAGAGGGACCTAAGGAGTCAACGGTCTGAAGCAATTTTAACTCCTTTATTTCTTCTTTACGGGTAACAATCCTTCTGAAGGATGAACAGATTTCCCTGGTGATAAAATCACTACAAAAGCTTTTTAGTTTTAGCTTTTGATGACTCTCTGCTTGATTAGTCCTGGACTGAAAAGACCAGAGTCCCTGAGATAACTGAATACTTGTACTGGCTCTCAACATTTACTCTTGTAATTTAAGAGTATAAATAATGAGAATGTGTGCTTCTGTCAGACGAAGGGAAATTGCTAGGAGTAAAGGTAATAAGGTAGGTTAGCAACTGAATTACAGAGAATGGGGTGGAAGGGAGAGAATTCTCCCTAAACTAAGGAATGATAACATGAATATGTAATATAAAAATGTCTTTTCTAAATTTTTGGAAGTAGATTTTAAATGATTTTTAGAATACCATTCAGAAGTTGAATAATTACATGTCTAACTTGGACTGCATATATACATTTCAAGAATATGTTTGGAGACCATTTTCAAAAATTTAGGTCCAAAGTTCAGTGAAAATATTTACAGATGAATATGAAACTCTATCCATGACAATGTTCAGTGAATGGAAACTTTTGAGAGCAGGTTTCTAGTACTTAAAAAATACATCACTTTAGGGGACATTAAGTGGGATGCTTTTTATTACATCAGTACAGAAACACTAGACCATTACATTATTTGTTCATAAAAGGATATAAAAGGTAGAAGTTTAGGTCAATCAAAAAAGCAGCCATTTATTAATAAAATGCAATGATGTAGAAATCACAGGGAAACTAGTTTATTTAGCACTAACCTTGTCATTTGAAGGGGAAAAACATGGTTTTATGGTTAAGGTCTAGTCTTTTCACTACCACCACTTTACCCTTATCAGAAGTCTCTACTTTTCAAACCAATAATTTTCCTAATTTAGAGAGTTTCACAAAATATAAGGAGTAAAATGTTTTTCCACATTAAATATCTGCCAAGTTCTCAAGGAATGATTTTGGTATCATTTAGGAGTGGCAGGCTTGGTCTAACTGGATAATTCACCTTTGGAGTGAATTCAGTTTCCTAGTCTATAACATCAATTCAGTATAAAAGTAAAATGTAAAGGATCACAGCACTTCATTACAAAAAAATACCTTTGCTCAGTTTCAATCAGTGGTTCTTAATGGAGATGATAATGGCCTCTGGAGGCATTTTGGAAATTTGCAGGGATATTTTCGATGGTCAAGATGATTGGAAGGTGTTATTGGTATTTATTGGGAGAAGGACAGGGATAGTGGATATCCTGTAATTTGCAAGGCAGTACAGAATTGTTCTGCATCCCACATGATTTTCAAATGTTCAGCAGCTATTCATGTAGTTGAAAACCTGTTTATAATTATATGGATTAGAATTTAAATATGTTTTACAGATAATCTTAAAATACTTTTTGCATGATTTTAATATATACTGAATTTTCCAGGAATACAACTACCGTGTAAATCGAAAGGGTCATGCATTTTATGTTTTTCAGAGTCTTACCAAGAGTGGTTTACCCTATGAAAAAAATATCATAACTGATGGCACCATGCCCATGGTACTTGAGGTGCCAATAAGCATACCTGTATCAGCCCGCATCTGTAGCTGTCAAATTCATGATGATTCCATGCATAGGACCAAGTATCTGACTACTTTATTATGTCTTCTCATGTAGGTTTGCCTGAGCACTTTAAATATTGAAATCCATATTATTTTATTATGAATTACTTTTATTCCTTCTACATGTTAACTAGAGCATTACAAAGATTAACAATCTCGTAAGTAGGTAGATTATGTTATCTGTAGAATTTATTTCAGGACAGTAAAAGCACGGCATAATATTTGTTATAATAGTAGCTAATCAAAGGTCAGCTTAAATAAAAATGAATAATTATTTCTTACTATATTAGAGATTAATTCTTCCAATAATCTGAACCCTACTCTAGCTATCTCTCTTATCCTTGTACAGAGCAGAAAATACCTATTTTTCATTTTTCTTATGTTTCTTCCACAAATGCCATTTGTCAATGATGTTATTCATTGTGAAGTGACTAAAAGGCAGGGGATCGTCCAATGAAAATACTACCCTGAATATCCTTGACTTATCACTTGTTTTAAAAAATGAACTGTAGCAAATTTTAAAGGAGTGAAAATAGCAAAAGTGGTGAAAAAGATTAGAAACTCTAAGAATCAAGAATGAGACTATAAATCATATGAGAAAGATCAAATTGCTAAAATGTGTCATTTGTTTTCCCAAAAGACTACATATTTAAGAAAAAGTGCCTTGTAATAGAACTGACAAAGAGGGAGGCTACATTCATGTAATAGCATTTAGAAAAAATGGTTAAAAACAGCACTGAGGGTGGAATAGCAAAGAATAGGATAAGAGAGATGAAAACATTACTGCATCTTCTGTCTTATCTATTCCCCTTACTTCTGCCTGTGAATGACTCTGATTCAAGTGTTTCTTATACATCAACCCTGCCCACACTCCTCTTTACTTGATCTTAGTGTTTAGAAGTATTTTTGCGGGGGCAGGGGCAAAAAGTAATCAAAGTATGCTACTGAATTAGCAGCCAAAATCCTGATGTTTACTTTGGCAGATGTATATTATTTTGAAGCTATATGTCATTTTATGCAGTAGATGTCTTAAGTTATATGGGAATATAATTTCTGTTAATGAAATCTATTTTTAAATGAAGACATGGGTTATTTACCTTTTCAATGAATCCCTTAATAAAGTGAATAATTTTCTGGTAAAGCAAATAATCATTCTTCAAATGATATCACACACACACATGCATACACACATACTAATCAGATTTTCCAGAGATAAGGTTTACTGGTAAACAGTAAAAAGACTGAAGAACAATCTGAGTTGTAGAGTAACTTATCACCAAAAAGATAATTTAAAAGAATTTCTTCATCTGCCATTCACTCTTATAATTATTGTTAGTCACTTTATCTTACATGGTCCTAGACCAAAAGGTCATGGAATACAGGCATACCTTGAAGATATCGTGGGTTTGGTTACAGACCACCCCAATGAAGTGAATAGTGTAATTAGGTGAATCACACTTTTTTTTGGTTTCACAGTGGATATAAAAGTTATGTTTACACTATGCTCCAGTCTACTAAGTGTGCAAAAGCATTATGTCTAAAAAGACATTGTAAGTACCTTAATTAAAACATGCTTTATTGCTAAAAATGCTAATAATCATCTGAGTTTTTAGCAAGTTGCAACTATTTTGCTGGTGGAGGGTCTTGCCTCCACGTTGATGGCTGCTGACCGATCAGAGTGATGATTGCTAAAGATCAAGGTGGTTGTGGTAATTTCTTAAAATAAGACAATGATGTAGTTTGCTGCATTGATTGACCCTTCCTTTCCTGAAAGATTTCTCTGTAGCATGTAATGTTGTTTGACAGCATTTTACCCACAGTAGAACTTCTTTCAAAATTAGTCAATCCTTTCAAACCTTGCCACTGTTTTATCAACTAAGTTTATGCAATATTCAAAATTCTTTGTTGTCATTTCAACAATGTTTACAGCACCTTCACCAGGAATACATTCCATCTCAAGAAACCACATTCTTTGCTCATCCATAAGAAATAACTCCTCATCTCTTAATGTTTTATCATGAGATTGCAGCAATTCAGCCACATCTTCAGGCTCCACTTCTAATTCTGGTTCTTTTGCTATTTCTACCACATCTGCAGTTTACTTCCTTTACTGAATCTTGAATCCCTCAAAGACGTTCATCCATGAGTGCTGGAATCAACTTCTTCCAAACTCTTGTTCTTATTGATATTCTGACCTCCTCCCATGAATCACAAATGTTCTTAATAGAAGCTAGAATGGTGAATCTTTTCCAGAAGGCTCTCTCAATTGACTGTACCCAGATCCATCAGAGGAATCACTATCTCTGGCACCTACAGCCTTACAAAATGTGTTTTGTTTTTTTTTTTTTTTTTTGAGATGGAGTCTCACTCTGTCACCTACTGCTGGAGTGCAGTGGCATGATCTTGGCTCACTGCAACCTCCACCTCCCAGGTTCAAGCCATTCTCCTGCCTCAGCTTCCTGAGTAGCTGGGATTACAGGTGCGCACCACCACGCCCAGCTAATTTTTGTGTTTTTAGAGACAGGGTTTCACCATGTTGGTCAGGCTGGTCTTGAACTCCTGACCTCGTGATCTGCCCGCTTTGGCTTCCCAAAGTGGTGGGATTACAAGCATGAGCCACCATGCCCAGCCACAAAATGTATTTCTTAAATAATGAGACTTGAAAGTTGAAACTACTCCTTGGTCCATGGGCTGCAGAACGAATGTTGTGTTAGCAGGAATGAAAACAACATGAATTTTCTTATACATCTCCATCAGAACTCTTGGGTAACCAAGTGTACTGTCAAGGAGTGATAATATTTTGAAAGAATTCTTTTTTTTTTCTGAGCAGTAGGTCTCAACAGTGGGCTTACAGTATTCACTAACCTATGCTGTAAACAAATGTGCTGTCATCCAGACTCTGTTGTTCCACTCATAGAGTGCAGGCACAGTAGATGTAGCATAATTTTTTTTTTTTTTTTTTTTTTTTTTGAGATGGAGTCTTGCTCTGTCACCCAGGCTGGTGTGATCTTGGCTCACTGCAACCTCCGCCTCCCAGGTTCAAGTGATTCTCCTGCCTCAGCCTCCTGGGCAGCTGGGACCACAGGCACGTGCCACCACGCCCGGCTAATTTTTGTATTTTTAGTAGAGATGGGGTTTCACCATGTTGACCAAGATGGTCTCGATCTCTTGACTTCATGATCCTCCCATCTCGGCCTCCCAAAGTGCTGGGATTACAGGCATGAGCCACAGTGCCCAGCCGATGCAGCATAATTTTTAAGGCCCTAGGATTTTTTAAAGTGGTAAATGAGTATTGGCTTCAACTTAAAGTCATCAGCTTCATTAGCCCCTAACAAGAGAGTTACCCTGTCCTTTGAAGCTTTGAAGCCAGGCATTGACTTATCCTCTCTAGCTGTGAAAGTCCTAGATGGCATCTTCTTCCAATAGATGACTGTTTTATCTACATTGAAAATCTGTTATTTAGTGTAGCCACCTTCATCAATGGTCTTAGCTAGATCTTCTGGATAACTTGCTATATCTTATACAGCAGTACTTGCTGCTTCACCTTGCGCTTTTATGTTCTGGAGATGGCTTCTTTCCTTAAATCTCATGAACCAACCTCTTCTGAAGTTTCCAACTTTTCTTCTGCAGCTTCTTCATCTCTCTCAGCCTTCACAGAATTGAAGAAAGTTAGGGTCTTGGTCTGGATTAAGCTCTGGCCTAATGGAATGTTATGGCTTGTTTGATCTTCTATCCAGACTACTCAAACTTTCTGCAGATCAGCAATAAGATTGTTTTGCTTTCTTATCATTCATGTGTTCACTGGAGTAGCACTTTTAATTTCCTTCAAATACTTTTTCATTGCATTCACAACTTGGCTAACTGTTTTGCAAGAGGCCTAGCTTTCAGCCTGTCTTGGCTTTTGACACGCCTTCCTCACTAAGCTTAATCATTTTGATCTTTAGATGGAAAGTGAGAGATGTGAGACTCTTCCTTTCACTTGAACACTTAGAGGCCATTGTAGGGTTATTAATTGGCCTAATTTCAATATTGTGTCTCAAGGAATAGGGAGGCCTGAGGAGAGGGTAAGAGACGGCGGAATGGCCAATCCAACGAGTAGTCAGAGTATACACTACAATTATCAATTAACTTTGCCATCTTCTATGGGCATGATTCTTAGTGCCCCAAAATAGTTATAATATTAACATCAAAGATCACATAATCATAACAGATATAAAAATAAAGAAAAGGTCTGAAATAGTGCAAGAATTGAAAAAAATGTGACATAGAGACACAAAGTAAGCACATGCTGATTTTTTTTTTGAAAGGGCGGTAACAGGCTTGCTTGACACAGGGTTGCTGCAAATCTTCAATTTGTAAACAATGCAATATCTGCAAAGTGTGATAACGTGAAGCTCAATAAAACAAGGTATGCCTGTAATTTTAACAATCTACACATAATTTACTTCCTAGGGTCTGGCTTAGAATAGGGAATATCAATTGTTCACCTTTGAATATGAAAGATCATCTTTTATATCTTTGTTCCAGGGAGAAAAAACCCAAACATGTGCCCCTACCCTCTCACCCTGCCCCCCACAAAATAATACATTTTTAAAGAAAAAGGTAATGAATAAACTTTGTAAATTACTATGATAAAGGAGGCAGGAAACTAGAAAGATATGAAACACATTAATATTAACAGGATAATATGTCTATGATATTTCCAAAATGACAAGGCTTGATTTTAAAAATTGATCTTTAACAAGAAAAAGGAGTATGGGCAATTAGGAAGTAATGAAGACCCTGTCAATATAGCTATGTTGATAATAACAGGTAAGGGAATTCTTGAGAAAATCTAATATATAACAATCAGGAGATCTGTAATATGCGTTATTGAGTCCCATTGGGATTAACTAATGAACTTACGAGCTTACCAGCAGTTATTTTTAGAAAGCTATAAAGAATCAGAGAAATATCAGAACACTGAAAAATAATGTGCCTTCTAAAAAGAAATAAAATATAACTACTAAAATTCATTTAAAAATGAATTCTAGAGCTTCTAAGAACAATATCCTTTTTGAAAAAATGAAATATACAGTTACTAATATTTGCACAAAGAAGGGCTTCTATTGGAAATCCTCCCAGTTAGAAGGGACAAGTATGAGCCGGCCACACTGGGAGTAGTGAATGGGGCGTGATGGGGTGTGCACGGAGATTGTGTAAGGAAAATGCCAAGTGCAGCTCAGAAAACATGTTACAATGCCTTGTTGAATTACCTGCATAAGATACAAGCAAGTTCTCTTTCCATTGCTAACACAGTTGCAAGCCCTTTAAAGTTGAGATTGTATTGAGACTGTAAAGGCAAGAAGTCAAGTTTGACCAGAGATAATAGGCTAAAAGAAAGACACAAAATCAGCAGCAGACACTTTGCATCATTTGTGGCTTCTGGCACAACCTATCCTTTCCTCTAGCTCCTTTTCTGCCAAGTAACTCTCATCTGGCGAAGCGTGGGGGTGGTACAAGAGGGCGTAGTGGGGGCGCAGTGGAACTTGGGGCAGTTTAAGATTCAGGGAAGACGGGTGCGGGGCCTTTTATCTCAGCACTTTGAGAGGCTGAGGTGGGGTGAATCTCCTGAACTCAGGAGTTGGAGGCCAGGCTGGGCAACATCACAAAATGCCCTCTCTACCAAAAATACAAAAAAATTAGCCAGGCGCGATGGCATGCACCTGTAGTCCCAACTACTTGGAGGCTGAGGTGAGAGAATCGTTTGAGCCCAGGGAAATAACTTTGGGAAGTAAACTTATTCCTTTTTTTTCCTTTAAGACAGGGTCGTCTTGCTTTGTCACCCAGGCTGGAGTGCAATGGTGTGATCTTAGCTCACTGCAGCCTTGACCTCCGAGGTCCAAGCAATCCTCCTGCCTCAGCCTCCCAAGCAGTTGGGACTACAGGCGTGCACCTGGCTAATTTTTCTATTTTTAGTAGAGACAGGGTTTCTCCATGTTGGTCAGGCTGGTCTCGAACTCCTGAGCTCAGGCGATCCACCCACCTCAACCTCCCAAAGTGTTGGGATTACAGGCATGAGCCACCATGCCAGGCCGTAAATTTATCCTTGAGGTGCAGTAGACAGCCTGCCTTGCTGTGGGTCTCTGACTTTCAACCTTGGCTGGCTTCTCTAATCAACCTTCTCCTAGACAATAAAAAATGTATGCATTTTTGTTACTTCGATTGCCTATAAAATATAGACAGCTGTTATAGAAATGTTTTGTTTGGTTTTAACTCTTGTCTTATCTCACATACTACTCTCACTGTTGCCACAAGGTCTTGCCTCCAGGGTTACACTGTTTCCCATTAAAACTTCAGCTCAAGCCTGGGCAAAAGCCTCCCTTTCCAGTTTCCCTTTGTCATTTTCAAAAGTAACTTTACTAAAGGATTTTAAGTTAGCACAGAAGTAAACAAGGGAATCACAAGCAAAGAATCACAAAGTAGTTACTTCCCTAAGAACAAGTTTCTGATTCTAATAGTCCCAACACACTTAGCAAAGAGCTTTACTGGGCCCCAAGTTGCTTCATTGTAAAATAACACTGTTGAAAAGGGCTGGTAGAACTTTACAGATATCTTGTCAGGCTTTTCCTCCCAGCTTCCCCTCACTGCTTAGCTGGGTACCTATGGCTGCCAGTTTGAGAGACAAGACAGAGAGGGGGGAGGGGGATAGGGAGAGGGGGAGAGGGGAGGGGGGAGAGAGAAGCTAGCGCAGGGAAGAATGAGACAGAATGAATTGCAAAATGCTCTCCTTATTTCAAAGCAAAACAAAACAAATGTGAATTTACTAGTTCAAATATCCAAATCTGTGGCCCTCCTCCTTTCTCAATTGTGAATTCTATTATAAAGGATATATTGTGTGGAGAGAGAGTTTTCTCAGAATTCCTGTGATTGACTAATTCGTACATGCATTCATTGTATGCCAGGCACTGTTTCTTGGTACTGGGGGTGCAGTGGTGAGCAGAGAATATAAGGGCTCTGCACACTTGATAGGGGAAAATGACAACAAATAAAAAGTAAACCAATGAACGTGCAAACTTCAGAGAGTTAGAAGTACTAAGAAGAAAACCCAATAGGGGATGTGAAGAGAATGAAGGGGAGGATGAGGTGGGAAGGAGAAAGAAGGCCATCGGTTTCAACTGGGTGAAGAACACTTTTGACTTGAGACCTGAGTGGCAACAAGGAGCCAGGTGAAAGTCTGTGGGCAGAGTGCTTTAGGCAGAGTTGTGGAAGAACAAGTGCCGGGGCTCTAAGGAGGAAAGAAGTTGTCATCGTTGAGGAACTCAAAGGGTTAGTGGGACTGGAACATGGTGTGTGAGGGGAAAGTGGTGTCAGATGATTCAGGGAGATGTGCATTCTCCAGGCCATGTGAAATCTTGCAAGTCATACTGAAGGGTTTTATTCCAAGTTCATTGGAAGATCTGTTTACAGGGTTTTAATCAGGGGAGAAATATAAACGGACTAGCATTTTAAGAGTACACTGGCTGGTATGTAGAGAATGAGTTATGGGGAGTGAGAAGGATGAATTTAACCCTTCCTGACTGCACTTACCAATTCATCCTGCCTCTAGAGCATTCTCTGGGACTCTCCTTTACACGGCTCAGAGTACAAAAATTCAGTTACTGCTAATTCACATATAAGGAATAAAATCAATCTGTAGCAATAGTAATATGAAGTAGGAGTTGAAAGAAAGCCTAGTAAAACAATATTTGAAGGTAGTGAATTAAAAAATGGAGTTGAACTAGAAATAACATTTTGCTAACAATTCTGCTTCTGTCATATACTCTGATACCTCTGGTTTCTCAGCCCTTAGGACCGTTGTGTGTGGTGGTAAGGTATTGGGATGGGGAATACACTGTCATAATATTCCATTTCTGCAATCAGTCCAGAGGTGACTGGTGGGCCTACCCTCCAGGCAGGCTCTTCTACTGAGTTCTTCACTTCTACAGATGGTCACAGCATTCTCTTAGCTACTCTACCTCACAGCCTGAGTCATCTTTGATTTTTCTCTCTCATTTGCTGCCTCCTGATCCAATCAGTTAATAAATTCTGACAATTAAACCTCATGAAAGTTTTTTTCTTCCTTTCCATTCCCTCTGCAATCCACAGTGATCTAGATTTAATGGTAGATCATTTAGAGTTCAGAAATCCCTCCTAACTGATTTTACTTTCAGTCTTCAGTCTCTCCCCTTTGATCTTGTGTCCTGCTACCAAGTGAAAAATTCTAAGGTGTCATTTGTGTCACATACCTCTTCCTATGCTTCAAAATATCCAATGGCTCCTCATTATATAAAATTAGGTAGAAATTCCTTAATTAGGCTTAAGGCCTTCTATTCTCTGGCTCCAGCCTCCTTTTCTAGGTTTATCATAACCTCAACTCTGCTTGTATAAGTATCCCCTATCCTGTCAGGTCCAGTTCCATTGACATTCCTTAAGCCTTTTCAAATTCTTTATTAAACATCTACTCAACATATTCTGTCTTACATTTCTGTATTAGCTTATGTGTCTTTAAAATTATATAGCAATGCCCAGGCCCACACTGACAAAAGCAAATCGCAAGGAATACATACCTGTGTTTCTTTCGATTCTAAAATCCAGTCAGAGATGAGATTACTATAATAAAGTTTTTGAAGGTAGGGGTCAGACTTTACTCATCTTCAACATAGATTGACAAATCTACCCTGTCTATATATATCTGAGACAAGGTATTGGTCTGTCACCCAGGCTGGAGTACAGGGGTGCAATCATGGCTCACTGCAGCCTCTGCCTCCAAGGCTCAAGAAATCATCTTACCTCAGCCTCCCGAGTAGTAGGATTGTAGAGATGGGGTTTCGCCATGCTGCCCAGGCTGGTCTTGAACTCCTGGGCTCAAGCGATCTGCCTGCCTCAGCCTCCCAAAGTGCTGGGATTACAGTCGTGAACCACTGGGCTTGGTCGCAAATCTACCTTATATTGAAGTGTATGCTAGCTCTCAGAGTTAAGAAAGAAATTCCTGGCCGGGCGCCGTGGCTCATGCCTGTAATCCCAGGACTTTGGGAAGCTGAGGCGGGCGGATCACGAGGTCAAGAGATCGAGACCATCCTGGCCAACACCTGAAACCCCGTCTCTACTAAAAATACAAAAATTAGCTGGGCGTGGTGGTGCGGGCCCGTAGTCCCAGCTACTTGGGAGGCTGAGGGGGGAGAATCGCTGGAACCCAGGAGGCGGAGGTTGCAGTGAGCCGAGATCGCGCCATGGCACTCCAGCCTGGTGAGAGTGAGACACTGTCTCAAAAAAAAACAAAAAACAAAAAACAAAAAACAAAAACCACAGGAGAAAAAAAGACAAGCTGAAGAAAGCAGAGTATATTTCTTGCCTTCTCCAACAAACTGATGAGGTGGACTCAGGTGGCCATAGTCCATAGCGACTAATTGATAAACACTGACAGATACTCAAAGATCCTCCAGATCTCTTTAGCTAAAATGTTGTGCTTATTAGTAAATACAATTTACTAGCATCAAAGAGTTTTAGTGCTAGCACTGAGAACTCACAGAAAGTCAAACTTTAAGTGTTCATGAGCTTGTATTCCCAAGATGTAGCTGACTTGGCCGAACTTTAAATGCAGATGGAAATATATCAAATATAAAACTGAGACTCTTTTCCTTTCTCATTTTCTCTTTTTTTTTTGAGATGGAGTTTTGCTCTTGTTGCCCAGGCTGGAGTGCAAGGGCGTGATCTTGGCTCACTGCAACCCCACATCCTGGGTTCAAGTGTTTCTCCTGTATCAGCCTCCCGAGTAGCTGGGATTACAGGTGCGTGCCACCACGCCCGGCTAATTTTGTATTTTTAGTAGAGATGGGGTTTCACCATGTTGGCCAGGCTGCTCTCGAACTCCTGACCTCAGGTGATCCGCCCGTTCTGGCCTCCCAAAGTGCTGGGATTACAGGCATGAGCCACCGCACCTGGCCTTCTTTGTCATTTTCAAAAGTAACTTTACCAAAAGATTGCAAAGTAACATAGCACTAAACAACAAAATGCAAAGAACCATAAAAGAGTTATTTCCCTAAGTACAAGTTTCTGATTCTGATATTCTCAACACATTCAGCAAGGAGCTTTGTAGGGCCCCAAGTTCCTTCATTGTAAAGTAACACTGTTGACATTTTGCCTTAATATAGTCAATATTTACAAACTAGTTAAGCATTGAGATAGTAACAATTTTCAGAAGATGTATGTCTAATTGTTTTAAAAGCCACTTCAATATTTACTTCCTCTACTAAGCCTTCTTTGATTAACCTTAGCTCATACCAACTACTCCCTTTAGGTTTCAGTATTTTCTATACAGTTTATACGAAAGTTTTTTTTTTTTTTTTTTGTGAGATGGAGTCTCGCTCTGTTACCCAGGCTGGAGTGCAGTGGTGCAGTCTTGGCTCACTGCAACCTCCTCCTGCCTCAGCCTCCCAAGAAGCTGGGAGTACGGGCGTGTACCACCACACCTAGCTAATTTTTGTATTTTTGGTAGAGACAGGGTTTCACCATGTTAGCCAGGCTGGTCTCGAGCTCCTGACCTCAGGTGATCTGCCCACCTCAGTCTCCCAAAGTGCTGGGATTACAGGCATGAGCTACTGCGTCCGGCTAGTTTATATTAACTTATCGTGTACTTGCTTTGCTTTACTAGTCATTTCATGTATGAGATACACCTTATTTTACTGCCAAATCATTTGGGGAGAAGGCTTCCAAATTATTTATCCCAGAAATCATAGTTGAGGCTTTATAAATGTTTGCAAATGTTTATAAATGTTTGTTGTATAAACAGGTTTCACAAACACAATTAACCATAAAATTTATGCTTACAAGTGTTATTAAAAACTTAGAAACTTGGCTTTTGTACTATTTGATGATGATTCCCATTTTGAAGTTAAGGAAGTGGGAGCCTACAGAAGATAATGACAGTAAAAACTTGTGAATTTACAAAGCTATTGGTATTCTGAATATATGGATAAATCATTATATGAACTTCTGTATGCACAGCATAATTCTGTATTGCTTTGACAGACTTTCAAAAGCATATATCTTGCTTTGTGGCCACTAGAAAGAGGAAGGAAGTAGGTGGTAAACTAGCCAGTATAGATTACCCCAGTCAGTTAATGATTTGGAATTGTTCTAAAGCCCAGAGACCAATTTGGGGATAATTGATATATTTAAAATACTGAGTGCTATAGACTGAATGTTTGTTTCTCCTCAGAATTCATATGTTGAAACCTAATCTCTAATGTGGTGGTATCTGGAGAAGGAGCTTTTGGGAGGTGATTAAGATATGAGGGTAGAAACCTCATGAGTGGAATTACTGCCCTTATAAAGGTCACCCCAGAGATCTCCTTCACCCGCCTTCTTCCCTGTGAAGACACAGTGAAAAGATTACTGTCTATGAAAAAGAAAGCAGGCCCTCATCAGACATTGAATCTGTTGGCTCCCTGGTCTGAGACTTCCCAGACTTCAGAACTGTAGGAAATAAATTTCTGTTGTTTATAACCCACCTAGTCTATCACAGTCTGTTACAGCAGCCTGAATATACAGCAGCCTGAATATACAGCAGTCTGTTATAGCACACTGAGTTTTCCAATTAACCCACATGATATATCTTGCCATTTATTTAGATCTTCTTTAATGCCTCTTAATAAAGTTTTATCATTTTATCCAAAGAGGATTTGCACTTCATATATTAGACTCATTTATTCATTAATTCATGTATTTATGATTACACTTTTTGAGACAGTGTAGATTCATATGCAGTTATAAGAAATAACTGAGAGGTCTTGTGTTCCTTTTATCATTTTCCCCAATGGTAACATCTTGTGCAGCCACAGTGCAATATGACAATTGTGATACTGACAATGTCATTTAAGATATAGAACATTTCCATCACCACAAAGATTCGTCATATACTGCCATTTTATAGCCACTCCCACTTCCTTCCCCCCAGCTCCCCTCCTTACCCTTGGCAACTACTGATCTGTTTTCCATTTCTACAATTTTATCATTTCCAGAATGCTATATAAATGAAATCATACACCATGTAAACTTTTGGAATTGGCTTTTTTCATTCAGCTTAATTCTCTGAAGATTTATCTAGGTTGTTCTGTGTCAACAGTTTGTTTCTTTTTATTTTTCAGTAGTATTCCATGGTATAGATATACCACAGCTTGTTTAACCATAACCATTCTCCTGTTGAAGGACATTTGGGTTGTTTAGTTTTTTTTTTTTTTTTTTTTTGACTATTATGACTAAAGCTGCTAAAACATTCATGTACAGGTTTTTGTGTGAGCACAAATCTTAATTTCTCTGGGATAAACTCCATTGCTTCGTTTCTCTGGGATAAATGCAATAATGCAATTGCTAGGTTGTACGTTAGTTGCATGTTTAGTTCATGTTTAGTTTTTCAAGAAACTGGCCCACTATTTCCAGGTCCATTGTGCCACTTTATATTCCTTCCAGCAATCTATGAGCAATCCAGTTTCTCTGTATCTTTGCCAGTAATAAGTCTTGAAGTTAGGTAGACTGATTTTTCATATTTTATTCTTCTTTTTAAAAATTGTTTTAAGTATTCTAGATCCTTTGCCTTTACATAGAAATTTAGAATAATTTTGTCTATATCCACTGTGCCGTAAAGGATTAACCTTGCCCAAAGAGAGGTCTGGCCTTTGCCCTCAGCACCTGGGGAGTAATCTCTTAGCCCTTGGAATGTTCTGCCTGATATGAATGGCTTCCTTTATTTCGACCTTTGGACTGTATTGCATCAGCTTGACCTTTGGAGGGTCTGGAGGCTAAGGTTTGCCATGTGGGTGGTTAACATGTCAAAGTAACTGAATCCCAATAAAAACTCTGGATACCAAGCCTCCAATGAACTTCCCAGATTTAGAATTCTAAATATATTCTCAAACATTGTTGCTGGAAGAAGACAGAGGTGTCCATGATTCAACTGAGAGAGGACAATTGGAAAGTCATGCTTGGAACTTTCCTAAACATTGCCATATGTGACACTTCCTTAGCTAATGTTAATTGGTATCTTTTCACTGTAGTAAGCTGTAACTGAATGTAACAGTTTTCAGTGAGCTCTATGAGTGCTGGCAAATTACCAAACCTGAAGGTGGTCTTAGAGATGCCCAAACTTACAGTTGATGTTAGAAGTGAGGGAGGCTTTGGGACTTCACAATTTTACATCTACAAAAAAATCTTGCTGGCACTTTGACAGGAATTCTGTTAAACTTATATATCAATTTGTGGAAAATTGACATCTTTATTATGTTGACTGATCAAATCTATGAACATATGTCTTTTAGCTTTTTTCTTTTTAATACTGCGTATTTGTTGGTGCTACTATAAATGGATCTTTAAACATTATACTTGTTGTTGGCATATAGAAATGCAGGCTGGGCACGGTGGCTCATGCCTGTAATCCCAGCACTTTGGGAGGCTGAGGCAGGCGGGTCACCTCAGGTTGGGAGTGCGAGACCAGCCTGACCAACATGGAGAAACCTGTCTCTACTAAAAATACAAAAATACAAAAAAAAAAAAAATTAGCCAGGTGTGGTGGTGCATGCCTGTAATTCCAGCTACAAGGGAGGCTGAGGCAGGAACATCACTTGAACCTGGGAGGCAGATGGTGCGATGAGCCGAGATTGCACCATTGCACTCCAGCCTGGGCAATAAGAGTGAAACTCTGTCTCAAAAAAAAAAATGCATTTGATTTTTGTGTACTGATTTTGTATCCAGCAACCTTGCTAAATTATCCTTTTCATCCTAAAAAATTATCTGTAGATTTTGAATTTCCTAAACAATCATATCATGTATGAATAATTTCACTTTTTTTCTTTGTAATTCTTACATCTTTATTTCTTCCAATTATAAATTTAAGAAAACTTTAAACTATAAACAAAATGTCTCCAATGTATTTATACCATTAACTAAAGAGATGAATAAAATATCACATAAAGTCAATTATTATGAACAACGTAAAACTGGCATCAAGGTACTATATTTTCTTTTTTGATTGATTTCTTATTGATGCACTTCAAAAAGACCTAGCTGTGTCAGGTAATGTCCTTCGGTTGCTGACTACTGGTCATGAAAGTTCCTGTCACTTTATGACAGATTCTGTTAGCTTCTGGAGAATCAGTTACGCTCCTAACACTATGATTTCTTCTCATCCTAGTTAAGATCATGTAGAAATAGACAATTTTTTGTTACATTTAGCCTCCAAGTCTATAGTTGTTCTCACTCTGTCTGGTACTACACTATTTTACTCCCAGTTCTTTCCCCAAAAGCATTTCTTCTCTGAATGTCTTTTTTTTTTTTTTAAATCCCACAATGCAACTGCCTTCTACATGGCAAGAATTCTTAAAGGATCCCGAACTTATTTACTTTACATCACTAATACATCTTCCATTAATAGAAAAATGCATTGATTTAAAAGTAAATAATATATTCATGAATATGTTATAGAAGTAGTAAATTACTACTGTTGACTAGTTTAGAAAATAATATGAGAACATGTAAGATGGGATTGACTACTTAATCCTGGGATAATATAACAAAGTATCAGGATAGAGAGAATTTATGTACAGTTAAACTGATATAAAGTCCCACTAAGAACTGATTTATGGGCTGGGTGTGGTGGCTCACACCTGTAATCCCAGCACTTTGGGAGGCCGAGGCAGGAGAATCACGAGGTCAGGAGTTCGAGACCGGCCTGGCCAACATGGTGAAACCTCGTCTCTACTAAAAATACAAAAATTAGCTGGGCATGGTGGCGGGCGCCTGTAATCCCAGCTACTAGGGAGGCTGAGCCAAGAGAATGGCTTGAATCCGGGAGGCGGAGGCAGAGACGGAGGTTGCAGTGAGCCGAGATCGTGTCACTGCACTCCAGACTCCAGCCCGGGTGACAGTGAGAGACTCTGTCTCCAAAAAAAAAAAAAAAAAAAAAAAATTTATGAAAAAAATTGAACAGAACCAGGTATGGCTAAACAATTGCCAGGAGGGGTTATGAAAATTGTTTGCAATTGGCCAGGTGTGGTGGCTCATGCCTGTAATCCCAGCAGCACTTTGGGAGACTGAGGCAGGGGGATCACTTGAGGTCAGTAATTTGAGACCAGCCTGGCCAACGTGGTGAAACCTGATCTCTACTAAAAATACAAAAAGTAGCTGGGCATAGTGGTGGGTGCCTGTAATCCCAGCTACTCGGGAGGCTGAGGCAGGAGAATTGCTTGAACCCGTGAGGCAGAGGTCGCAGTGAGCCGAGATCATGCCACTGCACTCCAGCCTGGGCGACAGAGCAAGACTCCGTCTCAAAAAAAAAAAAGTTTACAATCTTAATCCTTACCTTATGGATACATGGATACTGAACTCAATCCTAAATAGACATTTCAAAACTCTAACTGTGCTTTTCCTATAGGGGTGTGTGTGTGTGTGTGTATGTGTGTGTGTGTGTGTGTGTGTATACATATGTATATATACTTATATACATATGTGTGTGTATATATATATACATATACATATATATACACACATATATATATTTGGCCACTGTCCTGATGACCCATGGGCTAAAATCATTAGTGCTCAAGAAATTAAGTTTTCCTCTTCTGGAATTAAATTTACTTCTGGGTCTGTAAATATTTACAGTCTTGGGGTTTGAGATATTATAATGGATGTAAAGTATATTTTACATGTGTTACACAATTTGTTGAAAACATTATTTCCTACTTCTTTGCTTTGTATACTGGCTCTAAGCAACATTTTAAATTTAATTATAAGCCCATGCCAGGTGTGGTGGTTCACGCCTGTAATCCCAGCACTTTTGCAGGCTGAGGCGGGTGGATCACAAAGTCAGGAGTTTGAGACCAGCCTGATCAACATGGTGAAACCCCATCTCTACTAAAAATACAAAAATTAGCCAGGCATGGTGGTGTGTGCCTGTAATTCCAGCTACTCGGGAGGCTGAGGCAGGAAAGTCACTTGAACCCGGGAGGTGGAGGTTGCAGTGAGCCTAGATCGCACCACTGCACTCCAGCCTGGGTGACAGAGGGAGATTCTGACTCAAAAAAAAAAAAAAATTATGAGGCCATGAAAGTTCTTTTTTTTTCAAGTGTTTTCAAATCAAGTGATAATTATTATATTTAGATCTTGTTAAAGTAGAAAAGGATGGGAATTATTTCCCAAAGAATCTCAAATATATCCCTTGAGCATCACTATAGGTAGATGCCATCTATTATTTTATTTCTATTTCACAGAGAAAAGTTAAAAAATCATATTGATGGGAAACACCTGTGAATCCACTTATAAGATTAATATGGAGGAATAAATCTGCACATGAAAAAAGGAAGATGTTGGCTACTGAAAGATGTCTTGAGTTGGTCAGATTTCAATACTTTTGAGCCAACAATTTATATCCATCAGTAGAAACACAGGATTGTGGAAATGTTTCCCAAGAGAAGTTGTAAATGAAGGAAAACCTATAGTATCAAGAAAAAGTTACTTTGGAAACCACAATAATAAAGAATGCTATGACTCATTTACTAGAAAAAATACTTAAAAATTCTAACAATGGGGGCTAACAAATGATAAACTTCTATAGTGACTTAATAGTAAACATTTTAAAAATATCATATTAAAAATACAGCAGTAAAGCTACCTTTGCTTAATAGTTATTTATTCATACCCTCTATTGAAAAAAGCATGTGGGATCACATATATACATTATAGTAGGAAAAAAAGGGATGAAGAGTAAATGAAGTAGAGAAAGGTGGAGATGTGGTAAGGACTTGTTCATTTGCCAGTTTATGGCTAAACATTTGGTTCTGAGTTTCCTATTGATGATTGTTTATTTATTTATTTATTTTTAGACAGGGTCTTGCTCTGTCACTTGGGCTGGATTGCAGTGGAGATCATGGCTCACTGCAGCCTCCATCACCCAGGCCCAAGTGATCCTTGCATCTCAGCCTCTGGAGCAGCTGGGACCACTGGCATGCACCACCATGCCTGGCTAATTAAAAAAATATTTTTGTAGAGACAGAGTCTCCCTATGTTGCCTAGGCTTTTTTTTTTTTTTGGAGTAGGGTGGCCAGAGTCTCATTCTGTCATCCAGGCTGGAGTGCAGTGACACTATCATGGCTTACCCATAACCTCAAACTCCTGCGCCCAAGTTCAAGTGTTCCTCCTGCCTCAGCTCCCCAAGTAGCTGGGACTACAGGAGCCCACCACCATACCTGGCTAATTTTTTATTTTTTTTGGAGGCAGAGTCTTGCTCTGTCACTCAGGCTGGAGTGCAGTGCATGATCTCAGCTTACTGCAACCTCTGTCTCCCAGGTTTAAGTGATTCTCTTACCTCAGCCTCCCAAGTAGCTGGGATTACAGGTGTGCACCATCACGCCTGGCTAATTTTTTGTATTTTTTGTAGAGACAGGTTTTTGCCATTTTTGGCCAGGCTGATCTTGAACTCCTGGCCTCAAGTAATCTGCCCGCCTTGGGATCCCAAAGTGCTGGGATTATAGACATGAGCCACTGTGACCGGCCCCCAGCTAATTAAAAAAAATTTTTTTTTGTAGAGACAAGGTCTTGCTATGTTGCCCAGCTGGTCTTGAATTCCTGGCCTCCAGCAATCCTCCTGCCTTGGCCTCTCAAAGTACTGGAATTACAGGCATGAGCCACTGTGTCCAGCCCCTATTGACAATTACAAGGAGGGATACACAATTGATTATGATTTATCACATCTAGGTGATAAAAGTTAACCACCTATAGAGAATAGTTGTTTTTTTATGGTTGTGTTCTCAGTGGAGACTTTTGACACAACACTAAAAAGCATATCAGGAGAAGTAACTCAGAGGAACATTAAGATAATGTGTTTTAGGTGACTTGATAGTCTGTGCTAGCCTGGCTTGCTCAAGGGGTAAAATCAAGCATTATCTAAAGGAATGCACAGACAATATCCATTAGACAATCATATCAATATTATTTTAATTTTTGTCCAAAAAGTATTGTGTAACAGAAAGTTTGAAGTTATATTTTCTGGCAAGAACCTGGATGACAGATTATTTCTGCTATTTCCGGATACATCAATATGCTTTAATATCCACTCTTGAAATTGTGAAGCCTAACCAGGATATGTGCCCAAATAGATGGCCCCTCAGCCTACCAAAAGAGGGTAGGGAGTCCCTGGGGGAAGGAAGGGCCAAGATTTTCTCAAAAAAGCAGTTTTGGGTTCACACCTACATATGAATCAATAGATTACAGAAGTCCCAAATTTGATGGCATGTATGTAAAACTATCAGCCTTGGTATTACTCTAGCCATATAATATTATATGTGAATAGCCCATAGAATATGAAGACTTTTTATTTATTTATTTATTTTTGAGATGGATTTTTTGCTATTGTTGCCCAGGCTGGAGTGCAATGGCATGATCTCAGCTCACTGCAACCTCCGCCTCCTGGGTTCAAGTGACTCTCCTGCCTCAGCATCCCGAGTAGCTGGGATTACAGGCATGTACCATCATGCCTGGCTAATTTTGTATTTTTAGTAGAGACAGGGTTTCTCCACATTGGTCAGGCTGGTCTCAAACTCCTGATCTCAGGTGATCCACCCGCCTCGGCCTCCCAAAGTGCTGGGATTACAGGCGAGAGCCACCACACCTAGCCTAAGACTTTTTAAAATTCAATTTTAAGCAAATCGATTTTAAGTTTTAATATGTATTTCTAATAAGTATTATCATCATTAATAAACAAAAGGGAAAGTTAAAATTAAGTATTTACTATATTCCTGGTATGGCACTGTGCCCCTTCATACACTAATTCATGTACCCTGAAAATAATCTTTCAAAACAGGTAGTATTATCCTCATTTTGCTGATGAAGAAACTGAGATCTGTAGAGATCATACAGCGAAGGCCATAGTGCTTAGTAAGTAAGAATATAAGTGCCATGAAGGCAGGAAGTTTGTTTTGTGGACCCTTTATTCCTATTTCCTGTGACAGTGCCACACATAAGAGGCTCCCAATAAATACTCGTTGAAGTAGCTGAGTCCAGATCCCAGGCTCTTATCTACAGCATAGGGCTACTAGAATATAAGCCAGTTGGTGGTTTCAGTGTAAGACAGTGTGATTGCTTACTTCTTTCTGAAAGTAATGAGATCTATTGCATTTACTGCTCGTGTTAGCACAGAAAATGGGAAAATAATATACCACATTGGTATACCAGTGTGGAATTTTAGAAGCCATTTTGGTGCAATCAAAAGTTTTAATACGGATAAATATATGTCATATATTAATATTTTACACACACACACACCCCAACTGCAGACTGAACCCTTAAAGGGTCCCAGAAAGTTCACAATTATCCACTGTTGATCAATGGGGAATAAGATTTGAACATATGGATGGTCCAACAAAAGAACAGACTCAAATAGAAAACATTTCTTTACTGAGAGGTCACCAGTATACCAGAAAAAACAGAATATAAAGTATTAAATGTATGTTTCCATTAAATTTCTGCAGGGGTTTCCTTTCCTCTCTTTATTCTTTAATTTCATTTTTTAGAGACAGAGAAAACCTGTTGTATGATCCAGTATTCCTGGTTGTATTTTTTTTAAAGATGGGCACAGAACACAGAAGTTAGCATACTAGCCATGTCAACAAATACAATGACCTGTGCCACGGTGATATGATATGAAGCAGTTAATGCAACAGATAAAGTTAAGAAATCTGCATTCTTTCATTCTTTATATTCATATCATTATCTTTTTTGCTAAAACAGCACCTTGAATATGGCTTGAGTGTGATATGATGAGTATTTGCTCTGGGCTGACTAAAGATAGCAATCTTAGATAAGCTACGAACACAAACCTATTGGAGAAAAGAGCCTCAAGCTCAATGCTTCTAACTTTAGATAGCCAATCAATAGGTCATTTCCTAAACATGAGGTTTCTGTGTAATTATTCCAGCTCAGTATTTTTAAAGAGAATCATTTTCTCCAACATAGCTTCTTGTAGACTAACACAGAAGGCAACATTTACACTTTTATATTAACTCATATCTTTCCTGACATGAAAAAACAATTACAGGATGAAGGGCAGCATATGGGTCTCAGTTGAAATATGCTAAACTCTAAAAATCTTATTTTTCATCTTTGAAGATGAAATAGGCCAGGCACGGTGGCTCATGCCTGTAATCCCAGCACTTTGGGAGGCCAAGGCAGGCAGATAAAGAGGTCAAGGGATAAAGACCATCCTGGCCAATATGGTGAAACCCTGTCTCTACTAAAAACACAAAAATATTAGCTGGACATGGTGGCGTGCACCTGTAGTCCCAGCTACTCAGGAAGCTGAGGCAGGAGAATCGCTTGAACCCAGGAGGTGGAGGTTGCAGTGAGCCAAGATTGCGCCACTGCACTGCAGACTGGCAACAGAGTGAGACTCCGTCTCAAAGAAAAAAAAAAAAAAAGAAATAGAGAAAATGTTAAAAATCTAATATGAAAAAAATATGTACAGGATGATGCAACCCCAAGACACTAAAGTGTAGTATCTAAAATGATTGTTAGAGAATGTTTAAAAATTTTTAGGAACAACTTTCACTTGAATTTTAAACTTGTATTTTATACATGCAAGACAAAACACTATGTATACTCCACAATAAAAAATAATTCACACTTTATTTCAGAATTGCATTTGACCCAAATGTAACAGTTCAAGATTCATGATCAGAAGAAATATGTAACTAATTCACAAAGGTGAGTCTCTAGCAATTTGAATATATAAGTAAAGAAAGCAGTTCTAGAAAAAAGGATTTCATTAAAAGTCAGTTTTAGTATTCCTAACTATGGACTATAGTTTTTTTTCCTACACCACACAGTTCAGAGCAGCTGCATGGACTGTCATAATAATACATAATTACACATGTAAAAAGAGTATTCTATAATTGAATCTTATGAAATTATTTAGTAAGACAAATAAGATATATCATTTTGTAGTATCAGTAGTTCTTTAGTCTAAAAGATTATCTCTAAAAGAGACTGAAATAATCTTACAAGGCAAATTAAAAATTTCAAATGAAAACGATTTTAGATTTTCACAAGGGTGAAAAATAAGAATCTTCATATTTCTTAATTTATATAGCCATAGTCGCTCTTGTATTATTTAATAATCTCTCATGCCAAAAATAAAAAAAAATTCTGTTTTTTTTTCTGAGGTCTTCGGTGAAACCTTTTAACTATTGAAGTTTTAGGCCCCAGAGCAAGATTCTACAAATTTAAAACCCCTAGAAATGTAGACAGATGCTTAATTACACTTACATATGGTAGCAAACACACACAATATAAGTGGATATTTTTATAAGCAATTTTCATTTAAAACAATGTTGGAATTAAAATTAATTTGTAACTATGTCATTCTTAATAAAATTGCTCTTTTCAGCCAATATTTTTTTCCATATTTCTCCTTACCTAGGTTTAGCACAATGATTTAATTATCTAATTTTTGCAAATACATTCAAACATAAAGATTTTCTTCTGGTTAGACTCTCAAGTTCCAAAGATTCTCTTTAAAAAAAAAATCATAAAATTTAGTGATACATCATGTATAGTGATGTGATTCGAATGTTTCAGACTGAGATATGGAAAAAACAAATTTAAATATATAATATTCTAAGAAAACAAACCCAGAAGTATTATTAAGTTTAAAAATAAATTTTATTTTTAAAATAATTTCAAACTTACAAAGAAGTTGCAAGAATAATAGTTACCACTTGAACATCCTTTACCAAGATTCAACAATTTCAACAAATTTAAAAAACATTTGTCACATTTATCACTCACTTTTTCACTTTGTGACACAGGTATATACACACATACTATTATTCTGAACTACTTGATAGTAAGTTGCAAATATCATGCCCTTCAGTAGTATGTACTTCCCAACAGCAAGAAAATTCTCTCATGTAACTACAGTATAGTTATCAAATTCAGAAGATTTTCCATTGATAAGGTATTTTTTACTCTACCATTTGTATTAACATGTTCATCTTGCTAGTTCTCCTTATAGCCCTTTTTAGTCTCTAGTACAGGATCCAGTCCAGGATCACATTTTTTCTTCCCCCCCGAGACGGAGTCTTACTCTTTCACCCAGAGCTAGAGTGCAATGGTGCAATCTCAGCTCATTGCAACCTCTGCCTCCCGGGTTCAAGCAGTTCTCCTGCCTTAGCCTCCAGAGTAGCTGAGATTACAGGCACTCGCCACCACACCTGTCTAATTTTTGTATTTTTTAGTAGAGATGGGGTTTTACCATGTTGACCAGGCTGGTCTCAAACTCCTGACCTTGGGATCCGCTGGCCTCGGCCTCCCGAAGTGCTGGGGTTATAGGCATGAGCCACCACACCCAGCCCACAGTTTTTTGTTTGTTTGTTTGTTTTTGAGATGAAGTCTCGCTCTGTCACCCAGAGCACGATCTCAGCCCACTGCAACCTCCACCTCCTGGGTTCAAGCGATTTTCCTGCCTTAGCTTCCCTAGTAGCTGGGACTACAGGCACCTGCCACCATGCCTGGCTAATTTTTGTATTTTTAGTAGAGATGGGGTTTTGCCATGTTGGCCAGGCTGGTCTCAAACTCCTGTCCTCAAGTGATCCACCTGCCTTGGTCTCCCAAAGTGCTGGGATCACAGGGATGAACCACTGCGCCAAGTGCAGGATCGCATTTTGAAAATGATTAAGATTTAATAGATGCCAGGGATGGTGGCTTACATCTGTAATCCCAGCACTTTGGGTGGCTGAGGTGGGCGGATCATGTGAGCTCAGGACTTGGAGACCAGCCTGGGCAACATGGGGAAAACACATCTCTACAAAATATACAAAAATTAACCAGGTGTGGTGGTGCACACCTGTAGCCCCAGCTACTTAGGAGGCTGAGGTGGGAGGACTGCTTGAATCCAGGAGAAGCCTGTGGCTGCAGTGAGCTGTGATCAAGTGACCACACCCCAGCCTAGGTGACAGAGTGAGAACCTGTCTCAAAAAAAAAAAAAAAAAGATTTAATAATTATTTCTTATTTTAATTTAATTTTATAGGCTTTTAAAAGATAGTTTTATTTGGCATCTTTTATAAGATTTATTTTATTTCAATCTGAAACTTCAGAGTGACAACACTAATTCTATCCCTAAGTTTTATGACATTTTAAGTACATTATGTTAGTAAAAACATAAGAATATGATTAAAATATGCTTGGCTAAGTTTACATATCTACCACTGAATGATTACATTGAACACCCATCCTTTATTTTATAAAGAAACTTACAACCCAGGAAAGAAGGAAATTCCCTGCTAACTCAATGCATGCCTTCCTTCCATTTTGCTATTAGCTCTTGGAGGGTTAACTGTAGTAAAATTAAAATCAGTTAAATTTTCCACTTGTTAGGAGTTCTAGTAAAAGAGTTGATGGAGAGGAGATTGAAATCAGTGACTGAAGTGAAGTTTCCAAAATATTTGAGGCTTATATTTAACTATGATAATTTTCTTCTACAGCCATTAGAAAATGTAGAATTAACTGCATGCATGGATGCTGAGGGCTTAGAAATAGTGTACACAGCTGAACTGAGGGACTTAAAATTTAAGATCTATTTCTGGCTACCCTATCAATATGCTTGAAGTTCTAGACAAGCTATTTAACTTTAATTTGTCCCGATTTCTTTATTCCTAAAGCCAGAAAAAATACTGTTTACCATACTAGTAGACTACTAGAATTTCAGATTGTTAACCTATGGAAATTGAAATATAAAATACAGCAGAGAATCACAAGCATATCTTATTATAAAGAGTCATTATAAACAAATTATTTACCCAGGAGAACAAAGAAAGGACTTTACTGTTCTACCTATGTTTGTTACAGAAAAAAGTAGAAAATATATAAGTTAAAAAACATTGAAATCACCAATAATCCTACTGTTCAGAAATAACAACTTGGAACATATCTTTTCAGATTTTTTTCTGACACATAAACATTCATTTTATTATTATTTTTGTTTAAAAATGCATTATTTTATTAATGGAAAAGCTAACCATATTTCACAACAAATGCATTTTTAAAATGACACTATACTGAGGGTTCTTATCCTGGCAATTGGTTAACCCTCACATTGGTCACAATGATAAACTCTGGACAAAATATAAAAGACATCTATTTGATAGGATTGGAGAAGCAACCAAAAGCAGGCAGAGACTGGAAGAGATTAAACCCTTCAAAGAAGAGCTCTGCACTGAGTGGCCCTTCAGCTGAGAGAACTTGCCTTCCTGCATGTGCAGGCTAGCCAGAACCCAAGCAGAAGGCTGCAATTTTATTGGCTTAAGGTGTCAAAGGATGGAGTCTGGGGATGCCAGAACAGCTGGAAACCAGGAAGGTAAATTCCTAACAAAAAGGCACCAACTATGAATGGGAATAACTCCAAATCTGTGTATAAATTCTTTTTAATTTTTTTGGTTGAATTTTGAACGTGTTTGCATGGGAAGACTCAAAGGAGCTGACAAAAGGCTTACAGCTAGATGTCTGAAGAACATAAGCAGAGATTTAGGCTGCTGCCCACTGCAGGACAGATGGTTTAGACTTGGTATCTTGCCAAATTAAAGAGGCTTGATGAATACCTCAGGCTTTTCCCTGAAACCCATAAAGGCCATTCCTTAGGAATAAAGATAATGTCACAGGTCCCAGTGTTTACCCTAAAGTTAAGGGCAAAACTCATCACAGCAAGTTGTAAAACCAAGCCTGAACATAGGCAAGGTAATCAGCCACTAGATGCCCACTAGAACAAAAACCAACACTCTTCAGAAGAATATGACAGGATCCAGAGACTCAACAACTCATCATTCACAATGTCCAACATATAATAAGAACTTACTGAGTATGCAAAGAAAAAAGAAAGGACTTTACTGTTCTACCTATGTTTGTTATAGAAAAAAGTAGAAAACATAAAAAATTGAAATCACCAATAATCCTACTGTTCAGAAATAACAACTTGGAACATATCAAGAAGGAAAAAAAAAAAAAGAAAACTACAGAAACAGACTTGAAGATGACCCAAATGTTGGAATTAGCAAACAAAGACTTTAAATAAACTATTCTATACATGTTCAACGACTTGAGGAAGTGGCTATAATGTGCTAAAAATAGAATACTTTAACAGACAAATTGAAACCTTAGAACACCAAATGGTGATTGCTGAACTATAAAGTTTGATATTTGAAAGAAAAATTCACTGGATGGACTTAATAACAGACTGGAAAAGACTGAAGAAAACCTCAACGAACTTGAAAAATGATCAATGGGAATCATATAAACTAAAGAAGAGGGGAAAAACAGATTGGCAGAAAAGATAAACAAAGCATAAGTGACCTGTGAGGCAGTATAAAATCAACTAATTTATATGTAATTGGAGTCCCAGAGTAGAGAAAACAGAGAATAGGGGAGAAAAAAATATTTGAAGAAATTATACTCCTGAATCCCAAATTTGGTGAAAAACATTAACTTAAGAATCAAAGAAGGCCAGCAAATAAACGGGATAAATGCAAAGAAAATCCACAACTAGGCTGGGCATGGTGGCTAATGCTTGTAATCCAGCACTTTGGGAGGCCAAGTGAGAGGATTCCTTGAGCTCAGGAGTTCAAGTCCAGCTTGGGTAACATAGCGAGACCTTTCTCTACTAAAAAAAAAAAAAAAAATTATCCAGGCATGGTCGTGCATGCCTATAAACCCAGCTTCTTGGGAGGCTGAGGCAGGAGGATTGCTTGAACCCAGGAGATCAAGGCTGCGGTGAGCTATGGCTGTCCCACTGCACTCTAGCCTTGGTTTCAGAGCAAGATCATGTCTTAGAAAAAACAAAACCAAAAAAACACATGGAAAAAAATACACACTATATACAGCTTAACAATAATAGAGATGACAGCTGATTTCTCATCAGAAACAACAGAGGCCAGAAAACAATGAAATGACAACTTTCAAATACTGAAAGAACACTCTTTTTTTTTTTTTTGAGACAGGGTCTCACTCTGTCACCCAGCCTGGAGTGCAGTGGTGCAACCAGGGCTCAACACAGCCTTGGACTCCTGGGCTCAAGCAACCCTCCCATCTCAGCCTCCTGAGTAGATGGGACTACAGGTGTGTACCACTATGCTTGGCTAATTTTTTATTTTTTGTAGAGACAGGGGTTGCACTATTTTGCCTAGGCTGGTCTCAAACTCCTGGGCTCAAGTTATCCTTCAGCCACTGCCTCCCAAAGTGCTGGGATTATAGGTGTAAGCCACTGTGCCTGGCCAAGAATATGATTTTCAACCAGAGAAAATGCCTTTTAACTAAAATTAAGGTAAAATAAAGAAATTTTTAGATAAACAAAACCTGAGAGAATATATTGCAGACAGATCCACATTACAAGACATGACAGAATAAGTTCTTTAGGCTGAAAGGAAATGACACAAGATAAAACTCTAATCTACAAGAGTGAATGCGCAGCACTAGAAATGATAAACATGAGTATAAAAATAAAGAGTATGTTTTTCTCCTGTTATTTTATTTAAAAAATAACTGAATCTTAAACACAAAAGTTATAACAATATATTATTTGATTTTAATGCATATGGATGTAAGAGATATGACAACAATAATATAAAAAACAGGAGGTTATTATACTGGTGGAATTATACTATGTAAGCTCCTTAAATTTTCCATGAAATTATACAATATTAACTCTAAGACTATGAGAAGATGAGGATGCAGAGACCAATCCTAAATCCCTAGATCAACTGTTAAAAACATTACAAAAGGTATAGCTAAAATGACCTCAGAACAACGAAAATAAAATATCAAAAAATTTAACCCAAAAGAAGGCAGAAAAGGAGAAAGAGAACAGAGGAAGTGATGGGACAAAGAGAAAATAAATAGCATATTGGTAGACACAAATCCAAACATATCAATAATGACAGGAAATTTAAATGGACTAGTCACTTCAATTAAAACTAAATTGAAATACTATAATCCCAATGTTGGTAAGGACATGGAGCAACTAAACTACAACTCTCAGGTATTACACATGGGAGTAATAAATAAATTAGTCTTCAATTTTCTCCTGGTTTTTCAAAGGAAAATTGGAAGAAGTAGTTCTTTCCATCATTGGCCTCCCTTTGAAGTTGAAATGCTTACATTGGTTGAAAATCACTGATTTAAACTCATTTTTAATAATCAGAATAATAATTTTGACTAAGTAAAATAAACTCAATCCTCTATTAGTGTACTATTTCTCAGATTAAAAAGTGATCTGGATTTCTGTCATCTTCTATTTTATCAGTTGCCATCAGAGTTGTGAAAAATTATATTAGAGAATCTTTAGGAAATTGGTTGACTACATTTAGCAAAATTACCATTACTGTATATTTCCAACAATTTTACATATAGTTCATGGTGAAGATGGTACTCTAGATTTGTTGGTAGTCAGATGGTATATAACTGGTTGACTTATTCAATAGTCACCATTTCCTAAAGTTTATTCCATGGAACTCTGGCTTTGTAGGATATCAACAGCTGCTGATTTAAAGTTCTGATTTAAAGGCTTCGATGTGCTGATGTACACTATGACACACAGAAGGAATTTAATGTGTACCATCTCCCAAACATATTTGACCAATGAGTTTCTCCTGGGACAGTTTTGAGGACTTTTACTTTAAAAACACACTTTGGAAAATTTTGGTCTAGAGGTAATGTAGACATGAACTAGAGTTGTAGCAGGTGGAAAAAAAGGAGAGAACAAAAATGAGAAAGAGCATATGTTGCTTATGTCCCATTTCTCAGTGCTAGTTTCCTTAAATGTAAGATGTTTTCTATCGGCTTTAACCCTGTGCAAGTTATTTAATCTCTCTTTTTTTTAATATGTAAAAATGGGGCCAATAAAAATAATACTTACATTATAGGATTTGTAATGAGAGTTAAAATTGATGTATGTAAAGTGCAAGTATAGTGCCTGACATGATCCTGTTTGAAAAATGAGAGTGAGGATTGTTATTTGAATATTTTGGTACAACTTATATGAACTAGATGTTTTCTTCTGGTCACATATAAAAAGACATTAATTCTTCTTCCTGTAATCCCAGCACTTTGGGAGGCCGAGGTGGGTGGATCACGAGGTCAGGAGGTCGAGACCATCCTGGCTAATACGGTGAAACCCCATCTCTACTAAAAATACAAAAAAAAAATTAGCTGGGCGTGGTAGCGGGCGCCTGTAGTCCCAGGTACTTGGGAGGTTGAGGCAGGAGAATGGCATGAACCCGGGAGGCGGAGCTTGCAGTGAGCCAAGATAGCGCCACTGCAGTCCAGTCTGGGCGAAAAAGCGAGACTCCGTCTCAAAAAAAAAAAAAAAAAAAAAAAAAAAAAAAAAAAAAAAAAAAAAGACATTAATTCTTCTTTTGCAATATTGATTTCCAAGTGAAAGATTCTGAGAAGGCCTGCTCATAAGAAGCCTGCTTATCTTTATTGAACCCAGCATTTGACCAAGGAGTCTGTCTATTACTGGAGCATCTTGGCACTACTGGTTTCACAGAAAAATATAGTTATTTGTATAGCACTTGATAGTTTCTGGTTATCTTCATATATATTATTAGAGTCTATCCTTATAAAAAACCAGTGAGACTGGTGATGCAGAAAATATCACCTCTAAATTATAGACACAGAAACT
Organism: Homo sapiens; assembly: GCF_000001405.40. Lineage (NCBI taxonomy): Eukaryota > Metazoa > Chordata > Mammalia > Primates > Hominidae > Homo > Homo sapiens. The sequence continues at coordinate 93,653,842 of NC_000005.10, forward strand.
GACCAAAGAGATTAAATGAACTGCCAAAGGCCATAGAATTGGCAAGTGCCAGTGACTGGACTCACATCCATGTTTTTGGCTCTAGGGTGAGTATGTTGAGTCACTTGAATGAATGACTGACTCAGATAGGGGCTCCTGATTTTGCATTTTAAAATAATTTAGTTCCGTTCAATAAACATTTATTGAATTACTCTTGTATGCTGGACACTGTGCTAGGTGTGAAGATACAAAAATGAATGAGACATAGTCTGTCCTTGAAGAGCTTATAATCTAGTGCTATTCAGAAAATCAGAAAACAGAAAAAAATGAAAACCGGTGAGTCTGACTCACTTTTTATGGTAATTAACTTCTTGAAAGGCTTAATGGCATCTAGTTTTCCAGTGGCCACCAGAAAAGAGTTTATGGTGACCATAAGCAAGGGCTCTGTGTAATAGTTGAAATTTGAAGAACTCCCTCTAAGGTGAAGCCTGTGGTCCTTCTTATCTTTATTTTACAGTCATTAACACTATGCCATACTGTAAGGGAGAATGCTATAGGAGCATATTTTTCTATAATCTTTCTTTCCTCAGCCTGACATGTCTTCCCTTATTTGTGTCCATGCTTTCTTTCTCAACAGATCACAGAAATGTTCTTTCTACTTCAGAATGCCTAGTTGTGGGAACATCACATAAAAAATGTCATTTTCCTCTTAGATATCATGATATTTTTAATGATATTCCCCCATTCCTTTTAGCATACTATGTTTTTCCAAACTTCTTATTTATCTTGACTACCTAGTTAATTGCTAATGTCTGTTTTTCATAAAATTATTTGAAGACACCCTTGGCATAAGACCCCTCCATTCCTCCTTATCAAATCCCTCCTTGTTACCTGCAAAACTTATCATTACTTTGCTGTGTAGAAACTTTATTTTAAAAAATCATTGATTAGTTTTCTGACTGCATTCTGAGAACCATTTTTCCCGTCTTATGCCTGCAGCCTTCTGTTGCCAAAAGATACTGCCGATTACTTTCTCACTGACATGTTAGTCATAGCTTCAGATTCACAATCCTATCACCACTCTGACTACTACTTTTTTGTGTCTGGTTCCTGGTTCCCTTTGAAAATATCTTTTGTAGCTGCAGTGTAGTGGAAAGCACCCTGGACTTGTAAACATAATCTCTGGGTGAGACATCTAGTCCTAACACTTTCTAGCTTTTTGATTCTGCACAAATCACCTTGCAGAGCCTCTGTTTCTTCACGTATAAAATTGAGATAATAATAGTACCATTTCACACCACTGTTCTTGAGGACTCTATGAGATAATATTTGTGAAAGGATTTTATACATTCTGAAGCACCATCTAAATGGAAATATTAATTGTCAATTTCAGATATATGGGATTTTTGTGTTCTTCATTCTCTAGATTATCTCTAAGAGCTTGTTTCTTTAGTTAATATTATCATTTGCATATAAATGACCATGTAAATATATAAACTAGAAGCTGGCTTGAACCAATGTATAGGACACCTTCACAGTTACAATATGCCAGTAATGGAAAACTTTATACTGTCCTTAGTATCCATTTTCCTCACTTTCTCACTATGGTCAATAACTCTGTCACTAAGTATCTGAGTCCTTAATCCTTGTGTCACCTTCAAATTTCCTCTCTTTAGGGCCTATAGTGAGGGCTTGTTATTTTTTTCCTCTGGTGCCCAGCATCTCATTCCCCTTCCATGGCTTAGAGAAGTTTCACCTTTAAAGACCAGTTAGTAATACGCAAGGGAAAGAGCAAGACATTTGGTTGGATTAGTGTGTTTTTTGTCAATTTTCCTGGAGAAAACAACCTAAGTCAGTGATGTTATATTACTCTGCAGTACAAAGACTGTATATTGTTTTTAAGTAGTTAAATGAAGTGCAGTAGCAGCCACAGGACTAGGGACTAGACACCCTCAAAGTATGAAAAAAATGGAAGGGCCACATATGACAACACCCTTAGCTAAAGGAGAGCCACCTTTCCTACTTCCTCAATTCCTGTCTCAGTCACTCTTCATCCCATTATCCTGTTAAATGTTTGTTGTAACACTTACTAATATACGAAATCATTTATTTGTTTGGGTGTTTATTCACTAGCTTGTATCTTGGCTCATGTTTATTGTCCCTCTCCTCTGACTAAAATGTAAACTCCTTCAGGGCAGGAACTTTGCTATGTCTGCACTGTGTCTCCTCCCAGTGCCTAGAAGAGTGCCTCACACAGAGAGGCATGCAATAAACATTTGTTGACTGACTGACTGGTAAAGTCTTGATGTAGTGGGAGCTCCATAAATGTTAAACTGAATTAAAAATGAATTACAGACATTTTCTGAGATAAGTAGTTAACTTCAAATGTTATATTTTCCAGAGAAAAGAATACACTGTTATGAAAAATTTTAAAATTTCAAAATTATTTAAATGCTTTTAAAAAAATGTAGGTGCTAAGTTCCAAACATTAAAAAATGACAAGATAATGCACATTTTGCTTCTAACCTGCTATAAGCCTGTTATTCTCAGTAACCCAATCATTTGAGTGAAACGATCATAAAAAACATGATTGTTAAAAGCTTTTGGAAATAGAGGAAACATAATTTTAACTGTGTATTTGGTTAAAAACTGAATTCAATGCCACTTTCTGGCTTCTGTATTAATAGTATTCTCACGAAAAAGCTCTATCTCTATTCCATGGAAATAATTTTAAGGATTCATGTACTATTCACACTTACTTTGGAAAAGTATGGTAAAAGGAAGAAATAAGACACTGTTCATTATTTTGATTTTTACCATATCTTCACATTTAAATAGATTTTTAAAAGAAACAAAAAAGCAACACTCCACACATCTTTCTTTTGTTTCCCCAAACAAAGACAGACCAACACTACCCACAGCACTATATGGCAGAGTTTTAAAATTTGTTCAGGATGTAGCTTAGGCCCTTGCACAATCATTTATAAGTTGTTTTTTTTTTAAACTTAGTTTTGGAGGACCCCTGTGTTTCAATTAGGGGATACCAGGGCTATTTATTTGTTAGCTAGAGCTTGTTAAGGTCAGGAACCACCCATGTCTTTTTCATTTTTCCATGCTGTCCTCACTCCCCACCAGGGGTTAGTTGCCTAGCATGCGTCATGCCTCAGTAAGTGTGAACTGCGGATATGGAAGATGAGCCTCTGTAAAAAGTGCGACTTCCATATGTCAGAGAGAAGACTGAAAATTGTAAATGGGAGTAAGTTAACACTCTCCAGTATCTGTAGATCTGAGATAAGATGGATGGAATATCAATACCATAAAGACGATGGCCTCTCTCAGGCCACAGATAATAGTAGCAAACTCCCAACTAGTTTGCAGTAGCAAACTGCTTCCTTTTGATTTTGTTAGGCATCCGCAATTACTCTCAGAAAAACTGCACATGAAGTGGGAAAACTGGGATGCAGTTACTGTTGGTAAGATAGATGGATTAGGCTACTGGCCTAATGCTAGTAAGCAAGCTGGATAGTAAGTTCCATTAGACCTTCCTGTCTTTCTTCTAGACCTATCATATTTGATCTTTCATGACATGTCTTATACTTTGTCAGCAATCAACAGCAAATATATTAGAAAAATGGTTATGATAATTACATCCCAATATAGAAATGTTAGAAAAAAATCAGTACCTTGTGGTCTAAGTACAATGCTGTCCTGAAGAATACAGGTTATGCCATAACCTTATATGAGCTTGGTTAATTTTAGTCCAAACATTTCCTAAGTGCCTTGTATATGCCAGACACTGTTAGGCAATGGGCATATAAAGTAAAACAAGACATAGGTGTCATCCTTGAGGAGATTACAGTACTAATTTCCCTTGGAAGAATCCAAGACTCACCTGCCTTATTCCAAATTGCACTTTATGTAAGTGGCATTAAAATGAAATTTCAGCGTGTTATATGAGAAGTCATTGTTAGATAAATTCTGCCTATAATGAAAATGACATTGCATTACAAACTTTGATTCAATCCCCAGGCTGTATTTCTACTACACAGTACCCTTGGCACAGTAAACTAATATAGAAATCTTTCAGCTAAAAACAACAGTAACCAAATTTGCTATATAATATGCATTGTTATCTTTAAAATAATGCTTCCTATTTTTGATACTTTTTTTGTAAATGAATGGCTATTATCTATATTAGACAAGTACAAGGATACCTATTTTTTCCTCTGTGAAGGCTGGATGGCCTTGCATTCAGTTTTAAGTTAGACTTCTTAATGTTTCTAGCAGAATAATACCAACTGTACTATCAGCTTGTCTGAGATCTCTCTGAGTCAAAACACAAGACATGGTCAACTTAAGACTCTCATTAGAGGTCTTACCCTTGCATTCTTGAACATTCAGCTCCTGCCAAAAATGTGGTTAAGACAATAATATTTAAGTGATAAGTTTAAGGTACATTTAAATGGTCAATTTTCTAGATTTTTCCATCTTTGGTCATAGTAAAGTTATGATAAATATAACAAAAATCAATGTGGCCTCCCATGTGAGTCATGATTTAATGTTACATTACAGTCTTTTACTGATCATTGATATAAAAAATGGGTTGAAGATATGGCCATTGTTAGTCTATGTTTCTTTGACGAGAATCTGTGTGATTTCATTTCATTTCATTTCATTTCAATCAACATTTTTTCTATGAGCTGCAGATTATGGTAGTTAACAAAAAAGATGTGGTCACTGCCTTCAAAAAGTTTATATTCTAATGGGGAAAGTAGAAACTAAATAAATCATTTCACAAATAATTGTTTATAAGGAAATAATATGTGATGACTTCTTTGGCATTTACTGTAAGAAAAATATCTTTTCAGATGAGCTTATATGTTTTTGCTTTTCAAGTGAGAAAGATATTGTCAGCCACTTATCTCCTTTTTTGCCTTGAAAGTAAGGAAGCTCAAAGATAAATTTTATGCTAAATTAATGTAATTGTCATATCATAGGCTGATGGCCAATTATCTTTATTTCTAAACAGTTTCCGGTCCTATAAAAATCTTTATTTTAACTATGATGTCTTACATGTCTTGTTTCCTGTAGGGTGACCAAAGGAAGCAAACAGGGATAGGGTATGGTTAGTACGTGGGGGTGGGGGTGGGGATAACTAAGATACACGGCATAAAAAACAATTTTATATGTCTTCTTGAAGTTTTATTTTGAAGTTTCATTTGAAAACCAGAATTGTTCTATATATTCACTGTTGTATAAAACAGTACACAATTTTTATCAAGTTCCAAGTTGGAGTTCTCTAGAAAACCTGTGATGCTATATAAAAATGAGATTTCAACTACCTTTAGCTCCATGACAGAAACAACTGAGTAAAATTTCATGGAAGTATCGTTAAACATGTTATATTAAAAAAAATCAGAATTTCATAATCTTTTGAAACTCTGCTGTACTTTAATGGTACTTCTAATAGTGCCTAACACTTGGAAAGAGTCCACAGTTTGGCTCTTATAAAGTGGTTTTTGACAGCAAATGTGCAGGAACCAGAATCTATCCTTAAACTTGAATCTGAGCCACTTAGACATCATGATGTTGCCCAAATGTGAAGTGGTTTCCATTGGCAATACCATAATACAGTGTCTTCTCACTGCAGCCTGAAACTGAGTTTGGGAGATGTTTAGCTACCAAAAGAAGCAGACATTATCTAAGTCTTGATCAGACAGAAAAAAATTTGAAAAAGACTTTCTGGCATTCATTCAGTGGAAAATGAAGAAGCAAAGAAGCCAAATAAAGTTAACAGCTCTAAAGAGAGGCTGGAAATTGTGGTGCTCTAAAGTCTTCATCATCACCACCATGCTCACTGATGCCAATAAACATTTATTGAGTTCTTACCATGTGCAAGAAACAGTAACAAGGGCTGTAGTTATAATGGTCTTGAAGGTCAAGGACACTCCTTCAATACATAAGAGGCTTTTTTCTTTAAATACATTATAAACACGTCTATCCACTCATTTGTTAACTTATATTCTTGCTTCCGCAGTACTAAACTACCCCTACTCTTCTTTCACAATGCACCTGAAGTTCCACTTTGTCACCTTGTAATTCCTTGTACCTGGCACAGTGTTTTGAAGGCATCAGTTATTCAATAATATGTATGGACAGAAGGAATGAATTGTAAGGGTCTTACAATCTAATTGGGAGATAGAATAGAGTTTTTTTTTTTTTAAATCTTAACTTCTTTATACAGTTTCTATCTAGCATATAACAGGAATTTAAAAAGTTAATCAATAGTGTACAAATAATTTCATAGAAAACATTTATTGAATACTCACTATGCTTTAGATGCATTACTACATTGAATTCTCACAATATGTAAGTGCTATTATTGCTGTCATTTAGAGATGATATAGCTAAAGTTTACCGGAGTTAAGTATAATAACTTGCTTAGTTACCTAGATGGTAACTCGTGGAGGCAGGATTTGAACCTAGGCAATTTGACTGTGGCTTAGACTCTTCATCATCATACTGCACATATAGGTAATAAGTCCTCTAACTTTAGAAGAAGAAATGATTGCTGAGGACTGGGTAGTGGGGACGTCTTTATGAAGAAAGCAGAACTTATGGTAGGTTTTTAAAGAAGACCAGAGATGAGTAAGGGGCAAGAAGATAAGTGAACAAAGAAGTGAGTAGAAATGCTTATAATTATTTGGAGAACAGAGTTAGACTTGTTTGGATAGAATGAAAGTTTGTGCAGGATAGTAGTAGAAAACCTAATTAGAGATTTAGCAGGAACAAGAGTGTGATGGACACAGAAGTTTGGATTTCATTCTTTAGATGAAGGGGAGCAAATGAAGTATTTTACATAGAGAAAGAGGTATGAAAAGCTGCTTTTTAGGAAGATGTACAGGATTTAATAGCAAGTGAGGGATTACAGACAGGGGTACCAGTTAGGTGAAGAGGAAGAGACTGAACTAAGATGGTGGCACTGGGAATGGAGAATAAATCACAGATAAGAGAGAAAGAACAAACCAATAAAACATGACGACTGCCTTGATGCTGGAAAGAGATTAGTCAGAGTCTGCCCTGTCTGAGGGGTACTGATAATATCAGTGTCAGAAGTGGAAATGTTCTAGAGGGAGAGCTGGGTTTTGGAAGATTATTAAGCCTATAATTTAAAACAGTTGATTCCTATAGGGTTAAGGCACTTAATAACTAAATAACTTAACAAATGTTTGGACACTGATGATGAGCCAAGCACTAGGTCAGGTACAGGTGACAGAATGGTGAATGGGAAAGACATGGCCCCTGTTTTCACAGGCCTCGAGAGTTTGTGAGAGAAGAAAGGCATTGCATAAGTAGTAAGATAACACTGATGAGCTTTATGCTCGTAGAAATACAGAGTACTATGGGAGCATATGCTAGCAGCATATACAGCGGGTAGTCTGGGACTTCTTCGAGGAAGTTAACATTTAAGCAATGGGTCATGTTAATGGTTTGGTGCCCCAAACTAGGGATAGTAATTTGTTTAAGGTAGATTATATATGAGAAGTATGAATCATAGTACCTGCTCACCAATCACTCCTTTTAGTGAAGCTACATTGCTTATGACCTGTTTCAGGGACAGGAGTAAGGGGTCATCTTTTGTTTCACATTACCCTACACCTCCTATGCACAGCTGTTGAAACCAGGAAGGGACACAAAACTAAGTATAGCCTATTCAGAGAGTCATCACCTATCAGGGGTGTCCAATCTTTTGGCTTCCCTGTGCCACACTGGAAGAAGAAAAATTGTCTTGGGCCACACATAAAATAGGCTAACACTAATGGTAGCTGATCAGCTAAAAAAAAAAAATCACAAAAAACTCTCATAATGTTTTTAAAAAGTTTACGAATTTGTGTTGGACCACGTTCAAAGCCATCCTGGGCTGCAGGTTGGAAAAGCTTGCTCTAGAGGAAAAAGATGAGAAAAAATAATTTTCTTAAAAATTTAAATGTGTGACACCAAGAGACCGGTGGATGATTGTGGCTGAAAAGTCAGGAAGTCAAGTCAGACTAGAGGGACCTGAAGGCCATGCATTTCCTAAAGTACTGAGTGGGCAGAAAGAGTAAGGGGAAGAAGCTGGTCAGCAGGTAAGTAAAACATGGAATCAGAGATAAACAGAGACCACTCTTCTAGAGATATACCATATGTCGCATGAGAGCTAAGTGGCAAGAGTAGCTGTTTTGTAGATCAATATCAATTTTCAATGGCGTTCTAATCACAAGATAATGAGTACTCTCACAATACCCCATACCAGATTCATTTCACGTTACAGCAACATTATGAAGTCTAATTGGCTTATGTTAAGATTTCAGGGTGAAATCTAGTTCTTACATATTTTCTGTGAGAATCTTCTTTAGGAGACAAACTATAAATTCATTCCAAGTATTAGGGGTTGGGTTAGCTGAGTAGGTCTCTGTTCCTTGTAGATAAAAGGGTTCCATGAAAACAGGTTATCCCATATTGGATAAGAGTAAACTAAAAAGGAGATAGTGTATTGAGTTCAGCTACCAGGGTAAATAAATTATTACACATAGAAACAAATCTGCTTGCTACTTTTAAGTGTCTTTAATTGTCATAATTATAGCATGCCTATCTCAACACAGATGCGTTAAGATATATCTTAGGAAAATTGCCACAACTGTTGATACTTACACTTAAATGTTATGTTTGTATGCTATATACCATACACATATACATAAAATATATTTATACACACCTACACACCTGTCTTTAGTAAGACATCAGTTAACCAATGTACAAACAGAATTATATGTTTTTCTCACAATTTTTCATGTGTGCCAGGAGCACTGACAGGACAACCCCCATTACAATTACTGTCCCTCCCTCGCTCCAACTCTGTAGTGATGATCACTGGGTAGATGGTAGATGGCGTTAAGCAAGGCTGCTCTTTTGTAACTCCATCTTTTGAGTTTTACTCCATTGTCTTAGACCAGTTTGTGTTGCTACAACAAAATAGCTGAGACTGAGTAATTTGAAAAGAACAGAAATTATTTCTCACAGTTCTGAAAGCTGGGAAGTCCAAAATCAAGGTGCTGGCAGGTTTGGTTGTCTGACGAGGGCTGTGTCCTCCAGAGGGGAGAAACTCTTGTGTCCTCATGTGGCAAAAAGCAGACAAGAGGGACAAACTCCCTCCATCAAGCCCTTTTATAAAGGGAACCTAATTGCATTGACTAGGACCCCACCCTCATGACTCAATCACCCCACAAAATCCGCACCTCTCAACACCGTTACACTGATAACACCTAAATTTTGGAGGGGACATATTCAAATCACAGCACCAACTCTCTTATTCTGTCAGCAAATCCCTTCTATTTTCCTCCAGTCTCTCTCCTGGTTGAAACCAAACTATATAAACTGCAGTCAATCAAGTGATAAAACAATTCGCTTACCTGTGCCAAACTGTTTTTACAGGTTACAAACATAAACTTTTCTATACAGTTATTATTTGAGACTAAAGGTAAGGTAGGTGAGCTTTAACATTCCCCTTCCCCTGAAGGAAAGCTAAAAGTTTCCTCCTGTATTTTTCTTTTCCATTTGGGCTAAACTTGGTAAATTATTTCAGCCTAGGAGGAGAGGAGTAGGGAAATTGGGAGGAAATGAGGAAAGAAGCTATTTCAACTGATCATGTGAGATAGATGGGTAGGCTGAATATACACCCATCTCTCCCTTGTTCCACATGGAATATAAAAAAAGGCTATCGGATAGACTGCACAGGGAAAGAGTTGTCTAAGGGCATGTACGACGATGGAATGGGATTGGGCGCCCTTCACATCTCAACTGGGCTTTGGTGGTGAGAGGCACAGCAGAAAGCAAAGGAAGGAAGATCATCCTATTTGTTCAGGTCTTGGTGATAATTAGCTAAATGTAATTTCCATATAGTTAATTACAATTACAAGTATACTCTAAATAAATAGTGCATTGCTTCCCTAATGGAATATCAGAAGTTACAATGAAATATTATATCTTTTTGGCCAAGTGAAATAAATTTGTTTCTAAATATAATTTCTTCAATAGTGATTATCTTTAGAAAGAAATAAAGGTAGTATTTTGTAATATTAACTGCATAATTTAACTCATTTAATTTTATTATAATAAGAGGAACGCTTTCCAAAGGGTTCATGTATCAATAGTGTTCTGATAATGTAGGCCTTATAAAACATACTCCATTGGTTCTAACATACTCTTTTTTTTATTTTTATACTTTTTTAGCGGTAGGGTCTTGCTCTGTCACCCAGGCTGGGCGGGGGTGGGGGGCAGTGGTATGATCATAGCTCAATGCAGCCTCAAACTCCTAGGCTCAGAGGATCCTCCCGCCTCAGCTTCCCAAGTAGCTAAGACTACAGGTGCGTGCCACCATGCCTGGCTAAGTTTTTAAAATTTTTTGCAGACAGGTTCTCATTATGTTGGTGAGGCTGGTCTCAAACTCCTGGCCTCAAGCAATCCTCCTGCCTTGGCCCTCCAAAATGCTGACATTATAGGCATATTATTTTTTTAAGTATGTTAGAGGCCATCACACCTGGGCTATAAGATACTTTAAAAAATAATATGGCTTCATCCTGGCTAAAACAGTGAAACCCCATCTCTACTAAAAACACAAAAAATTAGCCAGGCATGATGGCGGGCACCTGTACTCCCAGGTACTCGGGAAGCTGAGGCAGGAGAATGACATGAACCCGGGAGGTGGAGCTTGCAGTGAGCCGAGATAGCGCCACTGCACTCCAGCCTGGGCGACAGAGCGAGACTTCGTCTCAAAAATATATATATATATATATAATAATAATAATATGTCTTATAATGTGACAAATATACATAATATGAATTATACAAATAAATAAAGGTTGCACAAATAGGTATAATATATTAGCTCTACACTTACGACAGATATTACAAGACCTTAACAGTAAAAGCAGACTGAAGTCATCGTATCATTTTGGGATTTATTAATGCATTTCTTTTTTTCCTTTTTGCCACAGTCTCGCTCTGTCACCCAGGCTGGAGTGCAATGGCACAATCTTGGCTCACTGCAACTTCCGCCTCCCAGGCTCAAATGATCCTCCTGCCTCTGCCTCCCAGGTAGCTGGGACTACAGGCATGCACTACCATGCCTGGCTAATTTTTGTATTTTTTGTAGAGACAGAGTTTTGCCATGTTGCCCAGGCTGATATTGAATTCCTGGGCTCAAGTAACCTGCCTGTCTTGGCCTCCCAAAGTGCTGGGATTACAGGCATGAGCCGCTGCACCTGGCCTTCAACGCATTTCTCAGTTTCATATGTATATTCAATAATTTACCTTATAAATTCAGATTTAGCTATTACACCTAGAGAATTGACATGATGTACTAAAAAATAAAAGAAATCACAATTTACTTCTTTTAATAGTGAAGTTAATAATGAGTCTGTGTTAAATGATTTTACTTATAAGAAAACCAACTGAGTCACAGATAAGAGATTCTGTAGCTTATATAACTATTTCCACATAGTGCCTAGAAGCTGCTATACACACCCCAAACAGCATTTTACATCTACCTTAATTGATAGGATTTGTCACTAAGATAGTACCCAGGGTTCACAACAAACTTGGACAACAGTCAAGTCTGATAAAACTAAAGCATAATGTAGAAGAAAGAAGAGATAGACCAAAGACAGAAACATTGATGGCAGAAACATATAGGTGTCAGATCTAACATCAAGAAAACCCAAACCAATTTTTATTATTTAGAATGTGAGCTGATAAAACAAACAGGGGTCAGGCACATGGCATTCTATTACTATAGATGCATTTTCCGTGTTAGAGTTTATTTAACACAGACCACTGCAAATAAATAATGATAAGACATCATAGCGTGTCTGATAATCTGTGACAACAATTCTAACGCTGTCACTGTGGCCACTGGAGAAACCTGCACGTACTGAGCCCTGACCTACCGAGCTTTTTATCTGCATGTGTACTCTCCACAGGCCAAGCAAATAAAGGCCAAATGATAATTTACACATGAATCAACTTTCTCTGCAGCATAGGCACCAGAGACGTTCTTTTCTCTGTTATTGAGAGAAAGGCAGCCAGGTCTAAGCTTGTCTCACTAGAAATCATACAAGTGAAACAGTGATTTGCAGAAAAATGGCAGATCAGCAAAGGGAAGCTGTTCTGAATGCGTGATAAAAATGGCAGCCACAAAGGACTAGATGAATATTTAGTTTGAAAACAGGCCTGACAGTAACAATGAGTCTTTATCCTATTCAAAACAGGTAGTGTCATACAAACTGAAATGGAGATACAATCCTGATAGAAGATTACACAAGATACCAGGGTAGGTATCTTTAAAGACTTCAACCTTCATTTTAATAAACGTAGACTCATGGATCCTTTCACCTACATCTTATTCAGATTACACACAGTTATTTCACATGAATGACATATGGAAGGTGTATTGCCCACTTTGAAAATGAGAAATGAATTGGTCAGGATGATTTTTTAACAAAAGCTTGTTCATGAAAAACTGGGTACACATTTTATGCCATGGAACTTGTGAAAAAAAATGTATTTAATATTCTCCAACCCAGACCCCCTTGGTACTTAGGTCAACTTTTATAAATTAATCAAAGGATCAAAATAGTGCTATATCCTTTTTTTTTTTTTTTTAAATATAGGAACTTGCAATGAACAATACTTGTCCTGGTCCATTTAACAGAGAAAAGGAGATTTATTATTAAATTTGTGTTAACAGGCCATTCCAAAGGTGATTATTATAATGTTCTAACTAATGACAGGTACTAACCAAATCAATAAAATTAATTTGTATTCCCCTATTACCACGTCCATAGTTTTGTGCAAGTCACGTTCCATCTGCCCCCTGGAATACCTACCTGCCTACTTAACAATGCATATTCCGGATTTCTTTTAAGTTTGGCTCAAGGCTCACTGTTCAGGAAACCTTCCCTTAAAGCTCCAGTTTTGGTGTGGTAGATGCTCCTAACTATGTACATGGACTGTCAACACATAACAATAGACCAAAATCATAAAAACAACTTTTATTCATGAGTTGTAAATATAAGAGATGTGGTATAATTTGTGGTCCATAAAAAGAAAATTTAAAATTTTTATTCCTTTGGAGTCCAGAAATGAATCTGTAAACTGTAGATCACAATCTATACTTTGAGAAAATGCCAAAAATAATAAGAGTGGTAGGATTTAAGTCTTATCAGTTCTTGGTGATGAGGTGCATACATCAAAAATTCTTGCAGCGACAGGTTTCTGAATATTCCTTAATTATTCCTCTCTGCCTTTATGAGGTTTTTCTTAACCTTCCAATTGCTTCCCTTACCTTTCTTCTTACATCATCCTCCTTTAGGCTGAAACCTCCTTGTACCCTTTCTTCTAAATTACAGTATTAATTTCCCCACCTCTGGCTGTTTAGTAGTTGTAGAAGTCAAAATTTGCATTTTCCTTAAACCGTAAGCTCCTAATGGGTACTAATCATACCTTCCATTTTTACATATCTACAAACTCTTATAGTGCCTAAACTAGTTTTAGCTATTCAGAGTATTCTTGATAGATGCCCACTGTTGAAAATTCTCTTTTTTTGGTTGGTGGGTGGGGGCAGAGTCTTGCTTTGTTGCCTAGGCTGGAGAGCAGAAGTGTGATCATCGTTCACTGCAGCTTCAAACTCCTGGGTGCAAGTGATCCTCCAGTCTCAGCCTCCTGAGTAGCTGGGACTACAGGCATGTGCCACCAGGTCCAGCTCGCTTATTTATTTAGTTTTGTAAAGACAGGGTTTTGCTATGTTGTCCAGGCTGGTCTTGAACTCTTGGCCTAAAGCAATCCTCCTGGCATGGGGATTACAGGCATGAGATACCATTCTCAGCCTGGAAATGATTAAGAATGCATTTTTAAAAGTCAAGCCACAATTTAGCTAGTGATATTCATTAGTTTTTTGGGCCAATTTATAGGTAAATTCATATCACAGCTCTTGCAAACTGAAAGGTGAATTTCACTGCCAAAAGACAAGATCTCAATGACACTCTTAATGACTTTAAAGAGATAAAGTTTGGATGTGAAGGAGGAGTAAGGAATGACTAAATTAGAATGTTCATGATGCTACACTTAATTTTATACAATCTAATCTCAATCACTAAATTTCTTTTTCTACTAATTTTTTTCTTTTGGTAAGAAAAAGTTACTCTAATTTGAAAAGCAATATAAAAATATTATGTTCTTAAAGCTTTTAAAAAAATTATTATTATATTTTGAGATAGCGTCTCAGTCTCACACAGGCTGGAGCAGTGGCCTGATCTCGGCTCACTGCAACCACCACCTCCTGGGTTCAAGCAATGCTTGTGCCTCAGCCTCCTGAGTGGCTGTGACTACAGGCATGCACCACCATGCCTGGCTAGTTTTTATATTGTTTAGTAGAGTCAGGGTTTCGGCACGTTGGCCAGGCTGGTCTTGAACTCCTGGCCTCAAGCAATCCTCCCAACTCAGCCTCCAAAAAGTGCTAGGATTATAGGCGTGAGCCACCATGCCTGGCTTGTTAAAGCTATTTAATTAGTAAGGCAAAAATGACTATGATCTATAAAAGCAAGGCAGATGGCAGTCCACATATATAAGAATAACAAAAGAATGGGGATAGGGCCTTGGCTGACAGTGTTTTTTAAAAGCAACATGAGGACAAAGAAATCAGAAGCTTTCCAAATTACCAAAGAGGCAGACAAAGAACAAAATGCAAATTTGAGTCCACTTAATTCAGTGCATTTAAGATGGTATTTGTTTTTTTTGAGTTTTAGGAACAGTGGATAGGATAAGTACTTGAATTTAGAATATTCCTCTTCACTTCACTATGTATTTTATTCTTCTTTACCACTTTACTTTGATAAAAGCTATTCTTATCAAAGTCTTCTCTCTTCATCTTATCATTTCTTATCATTCATCCAGTTCCCTCCTTATTGATCATCAGACCATGAAAGAGACAATGGATAGCTCTACCAGAGTCAATATATAATGCAGACATTGCATCTACTCAATCTACCAGGTCTGTCGATCTGCCATGGGGAAAACTGGATTGGCCTATAATTTTGTTCACAAGAGCAAGCTGATAATTACAACAAAACCTGTGATCCCCAAATGTCTGAATGATGACTTTGGAACTTTCTAAAGTACTTTCTAAAGTATCTAAAATAAGTTGACGGAACTATAACTTTAAAAGTCATCCTAATTTGTATGTTTGACGTGAAATACCACATTTATCCCTTCCTAATTCTAGTTGTTCTTACCACTGCTGTATTCCCCACACCATACAAAGTGAAAATAAAAACCAGTCTGCCAAAGAAGACAGCTTTGCTCTTTAGAGTTGTGAGTGAATGAACAAATTAACAAGCACACACAAAGTACCTTTTTAAAAGGTGATAAAACTCAACAATTAAGGATGTGGTTTCCAGACAAATGTAACACTTAAATGGTAAATCTACTGTCATGGAAGTGGGAAGAACTAGTTAATATTTGGGGACATGTCTTCTTCATACCTGACTGACAAGACAAGTTATGAGAGGCACTGTTTTCAGGTTTGAATGGGGCTAACTAGAGAAACCTATTTGCAAAGGGTTACTCAGCCATTTAAAAAAAGTATAAAACAGAGTACCTACATTTGTAAGGCATCATTAACATTATGGATTCTTAATGTTATTAAAATTCTTTAATAGAGAATCAAGGGAAGGAGAACTTGTTTTTCAAATTACGTGTTGTTGTCATGTTGGGGCTATGGAAAACCTTTCCCCATTGCAGTATGCAGAAGGCAAACTCCTGCATACTACAAATGAAATCTGCATTGGTCAGAAGTAGCTAATTTGGAGGGTGTACACAGCCTGTTAGTCAACGGTGACTTTTATATTCTAATCATACACACTGTTGTTAGACCCTTACATTCTAGTCAAATAACTTCTAGGTCATGTTAGAAGTTTCACACGTTGGTAAAAAAGAAATTTTAAAGTTATGCACTTGCTATTTTTTCTTTCTTATCCTGAAACTTCTCTCTGATCTCTAGACTATTTCCTTAAATAAAGGTTCTAACATAAAAAGAGAGCATGGTTAAATGCCAAAATTTTGCTCCCAATTTTCCCTCCCAAACCTGTTCTTCTCCTAGACTTCCTTATCTTAGTAAATGACACCACCCAGATGTTCAAGCCAACAATCTAGGAGTCATTTTTCATCCTTCCTATCCCCTCACTTCCCATCTCTAAATGATTATGTTGGACACTTCTTCCCATCTCCAACTCCTGCCACCAAAATCCAAGTCACCATAATTGCCTGCCTAGGCTATTGAGCCAGCTTCTTAAGTGGTCAGCTGCTTACCCACTTGTTCCCCCACCAATCCACTTTTAATCTAAAATAGATATGATCACTATCCAACTCAAGACCCTCAGTGGTTTCCCACTGTACTTACAAGAAAATAAAAATTTGGACTCCAAGGCTCCAAGGCTCTAAGCAATGTGGCTTCTGCCTAGATCTCCTTGTTCTACCTGCTACAGGCTCACTCACCTTCGTTTGTTCCTTCAACAGGAGCAGCCCCTCCTTAGTCTGCCTAGAGTGATTCTATGATTTTCAAGCCTTAAGTAAATTCAGTAGCCTTTTTTGAAGGTAAAGGAAATATATTCAGCATAACTCAGGGCCATGTACCATGTCTGTTATTTTCACTTAGAAATACCTTCTATGTTGTTAAGTTTAGGAAAAAAACAGCAGATTAAATTCCCACAAAATGAATATTCATTCACATAGGAACAATTAAAAGCACAATCTCATTCTTTACATGTTGCATTTAGTTATGCCTAATGAGTAATGAGAACTTACAAACATAATATTTCTTGTACATTTCTGATTATGAAAAAATTATGAGTCTAGAAAGGGACAGATTTTCTCAAAGACTATAGTCAGTCCTCTGTTTATGTATAAAAATGCAATGGTGATTATACACTTTACAATGCTGAAATGTTCCAAATTACTTTCATTTACAATTGTACTATTTAAAATAATTCTCTAATTATTTTTTCCTGCTAGAATTTTTATAAAGTATAAGAGGAAAGTGATTTTCTTATAATAGACTAGTCTGTCTCCTCACAGGAGCATCCAGAATGCCACTATTTCAGGACTTTCATTGTGATATACAAAATGCTGACACTGATTATGCACTTGAAAATGATGAATTGTTTTCCTCATTAGTAAGGGAAGCATTATAAACCCTCAAAACAAGATATTTTCCATATATTTTATTCAACAGGGTACTGGTAATTAAAAACTTTCCAGAATCTTAAAGAAGCCAGATTAGTCTAATAAAATAAATATACACTGTCATCATTTCTGTTGTATCAATTGTTACTGAGTAATAATTGTCAATAATGATTTTACCATCCATTTTGTAATCAACTAAAAAGTACAGAATATAAAGAAGCACAGTATAAAATCCAGCCTTGTTTTTTTGAATACATGAAGTAAAGAATAAAGATAAAAGCCCAAATGTAAATAAGTCATTTTAGATGATACAGTGAACTAACACAGAATTACAATATTACTTGAAAATTTGTTCTAAATGTCAAATAATAAGAGCTGAGGATTCACATCCTTAAAAAACCCTTAGGTATATTGAAATCATTTCCAATATTTGATTAATAAAAAGTAGGATTTACAATTCTAATTGATAATTGGAAATACCATCAGACTTCATGTTATTAAAAAAATGAAGCAAAATTTGATTTACAAAAAAATTTTTGGACATTTAATACTTCTTTCCAGAATTTTTGAGATGACCCCTCAATTTTTCAATGAGCTCTTACACTAAAAAAGAGGATTGGAAAAAAAAGTTTGGAAAAAATACCACTTTAATGTACTGACTCATTTTTAAGATTGTTATAATTGGTTGGTCACTGAAATAAATAATCATTAAGACTTAAAACTTTAAATGGAAGGAAAACAAAGTAGCTTGGAAGAGGATAAAGGTAGAAGATAGTGTGAAGAAAAATAGAAATGTTACAGACATACTAAAACTCATTTATTTCAATGGAAAGAACTGGTAAGTAAGTAAGCATGCTAGTAAGTACTGTCTAAGGAGATAGTAACTTTGAGGAATGGCTGAGTGAGTTCTGCTTAAGATCAGTTTATTTTACTATTCCCTTCCAAAGGTGGGTCTAAGTCGTGTTGAGAATTAGCTCCAAATCTTAAAGAAGAATTTTATTGTATTGTTATCAATTATCAGTCTTCTAAATAACACAACATATTTACATATGAAAAGTCAAACAATCCCAAGTCTCTTCCTACATCTGACTTGGGCATGACAATGTTCAATACTTTTAAAATGATGGGGACTGAGAATAATATTAACTAAAGGGTTAACCATCTTTTGGCAGTAGTCTTAAAAAAGTAGTGATAGAAATGTTGCTGTATGCATCACTAATGTTCTTTTTTTTTTTTTAGATGGAGTCTCGCTGTCACGAGGCTGGAGTGCAATGGCGCCATCTTGGCCCACTGCAACCTCTGAAGCCCTGGTTCAAGCGATTCTCCTGCCTCAGCCTCCTGAGTAGCTGGGATTACAGGCACTCACCACCACACCCAGCTAATTTTTATATTTTTAGTAGAGACGGGGTTTCACCATGTTGGCCAGGATGGTCTCAATCTCCTGACCTTGTGATCCACCCGCCTCAGCCTCCCAAAGTGCTGGGATTACAGCCGTGAGCCACCATGCCCAGCATGCATCACTAATATTTTAGTGCATTAAAAAATTTAAGCTAATGAGATAAAGAAGAAAAAACAATTAATGATGGGTAAGGAATACTTAAAACCCACAAAATTTAGTCCAGAACTAAACTGTGCTTAAATTTGAAGAAAATAGAATTTTAAAATTCTACATTTACACTTAAAATTATGGTTTACAAATATGATTTTGGCATTAGCTATTATTAGTCTTTAATAGAAAATTATAGAAAACCAGGATGTGACTTGGCTCTTTTAATCATATCACCAGAAGTTTAATGTCTAACCATGGATGTTATCCTCAGTTTCTCGCATTTCTACTTGGTCTATTTGTAACTTTAGCTACTGCAGAAACCAAACCAAACCAAACTTCATTTTGTTCACTAATGCCAACACACATGAAACATAATTGTCTCTAGATAATGAAATATAATATTTTTTAAAGTATCACTTGATAAAGGAAAAGTTTCTGAAGTTAATAGAATCTATTTTCTTCTAGTTCTATTTCCTTTTTCTACTTTACACTGTAGATTTTATAGATAGCCAACAGAATCTACATTTCAAGTGTGAGGTAATTTTAAATGAAATAATTAAAAATAGAGAGTTTTTAAGCAGCACTGCTTACTGACCCTGACAGTTTTGTTTTGGGACACAGAATATAAAGCCATTTACTCAAGAATCTTTGTGTTCAGCATAAAATATTTAAAATGTCTCATTTTCTAGAGATCTGGTGGGAGTTCACGACAGATGTGTTCTTTCTTTCTCTCTTCTCTTTTTTTTTTCTCTCTCTTTCTTTTCTCTTTCAGCATTATTGTGTCAAATTAGCACTGATGATTTACCCATAGCAGTATGAACTTCTTGGAGGAAGGAAAGAAAAGTACAACAGCTTCTTCAGAGAAAAGAACAAATTGGCATAGGAAAGAAGAAAGACACTTCGTTTAAAGAATGTATTTTGCAGTAAATGCCCACAAACAGCCCATAGAGAGTTCACTTATTTATGCATCACCATATGATTATTCTGACTGCCTTTAGTCTCAAACAGGGAAAGCCTCCGCAAAAAGCATTCTCCAGGTGTTAGTTTAGGTTTGTCATTATTTCCTATTTATAGACTCTGTCTAGTAAAAGAAGACAAATTACTGTAAGTGGGGGTAAATGTGATTAAACGAGTCCTCTGAAGATAAGAAGTTACATGGACAAGGGTCATTAACACAAATGACCTCTTTTTGCCAGAACATATTTTTTTAATTTAGTGGATTTGAAAAAAACTGCAAAGCAAGAATAATCTCTACTGCACATACTCACAGAGAAACATATCCCTTTTATTCTAATAAATATTTTCATGACTCTTCAGTATTTTAATAACATACTGATAATGCCAAAATACTCTCAGAATACACCAAGAACAATATTGGAGGGATCATTTATCTTAAGGAGTCTAATCGGAAACACTTAAGCAACATAGTTATAATCAGACAAGACATATAACACCAAGAATGTAAGTTAGTGGAAACAAGATCATGGGAATCAAATGGAAAGCTGAAATTTGTAAAGTTTCAATTAAAACATCTACACTCTTTCTTTCACCTGATCGTAGCCCCATATGGCAAGGTCAGCCCTTTCAGTGAACAAACAGCTCAGTCGCCTCCAGTGTAGCTGTTATCTTCCTCAACAAGGGGAGACATTTGGCACAGCCTAAAGCTGGGGCATGAACCCTGGCTAAGCTTAAGACATTTATCTGACAGCATCAGCTGACACTCCACAAACACATTTGCTCTCCATGACCTCAGAGCATTCGTGATTAATCAAAAATGTATCTTGGATCTTGAGAACAAGCTACAACCAGGCACACACAAAAAAGAATATGCTCTCGATCTCACTTATCGACTCAAGAGGTATATTGAATTTAGAAATAGCAAATAGAATAAAATGATCAATATGTTCTCACTTGTCCATGGAAGAGCAAACTTTATCCCTCAAGCCAAAGACATTGATCATGTAAATGTTTCAGAACTGCTTTCAGACTCAATAATGCAAAATGCACATGGTTTATTGGGGGTAGAGAAGGAGGCCTGCCAAAGAGGAGCTTTTGCTTTAACTTAAAAAAATATATAGCTTGAAGACATAAAGCATTATGCTTGTAGTGTGCTATATTTTTTTACAAACTGTGTGTTCAGCCTAAAACCTTTTTTGGTAACATGTTGCTGAATGTTCTCAATAAAGCATTATAAAGGAGACTTTAAAACTTAATGAAGGAACATTATTTGTGCAGAGAAAACTCCCTGTCTTAATTTAAATGAGACACAGTTATAACATATCCCCTATGCACTGTTTACAATTTATAATTTATAATTTATGTCTCTTGGTTCAAACTCACTATTTTCTAAGTAATGATTAACATGTGAATACTGTAATATTCTGCTTCTCAACCAGTACAGTTTAGTATATTTTCATTTTCATTTGTACTTTTCACTTTCTAATAACAATACTGAATGCTAATTAAAGGAATGGGAACCAGAAGTCATATGCCCCACCCTTGATAATATGAAAATGATTATTATTAAAACAAACCTCTACAGTTGAACTTATTAAATCTCATACTTGCCTGATTACCCACTGGCTAGGTTACAGTTGTTCACGATCCTACAGCAGATCATTCTACTAAAGAAAAACTACATGTCCTGGTCCCTGTTGGCATGGCAAACAAACTTTCATAGCATGTGCTCACTCTATAAAA
This sequence comes from Homo sapiens, assembly GCF_000001405.40. Classification (NCBI taxonomy): domain Eukaryota; kingdom Metazoa; phylum Chordata; class Mammalia; order Primates; family Hominidae; genus Homo; species Homo sapiens. The sequence continues at coordinate 93,675,344 of NC_000005.10, forward strand.
TAGTGATACTAATTAGAAGATATAAACTCATGCTGAGATATGATATGAATTGGCTTTATGTATCTACTAAGCTCACAGCAGTACTAGATTTATACTGTTGTTGCTTTAAACTAACACTAAACAGAAAATTCAACTTCTAAATATGTATAAGAAAGCAAAAGTGATTGAGTTGAAAAAACAAAAACCTCACTCAGCCCCTCATTTTTGGTTTCTCTTCTAAAATGCTTCCTGAGTGCTTAGAGGTTGCCCACTACTTTTCTCCCATATGTTTACCTAACTTAAATTCTTCAAACATGAATTGCAAGTACCAGATAGCACAGCTGTATGTTTTGACATCCATGGTGAAAATGAGCAGAAAATCTAACTGTTCCATATCAAGAAGTATTTTTACTAGTGCTAATGTGCCTTAAATACCTTGTTCCACAGATGAGTGGCCTGGCACCTGCTGCATGAGAAATAGCCAATTACTGTTCAGTGTCTCTAATTTTCTGATTCAATTAGCATGCTTCAGAGCTTTCCAGTTTAATTGCAAACTACTTCACAGTTAGCTCTCTGATTAATCATTGCCCATCTGCAAGCCATCGGAAAACTTAGTGGAACAAATTTGTGTACTTTGGAATGCTGGGAGCTTAGCAAATCAAACTTGTTTTGGTATATAAAGCTTTAATTTTGTTTGCCCTTTTCAGCTGCACTTGTAAGAAGCTCTGTACTGATTAAACAGGAAGTCTGGACAATAATATGCTACATTATGCATATAATTACTGTAAATACAACCAAGATTGTAGAAACATCATTTAAGGTTAGGCACTAACATGAATGGAGAAGGGGGTCAAGAAAACACATTTGGAATCAATTTCTTTCCATTATGACCAAGTACAAGTATCAAGAAAAAAAAAATGCTGTGTGACACACAGTGATGTCATTACAGCACCTGTTCCCCTGAAGACATTTTACATTCTGGCTTTTCATGTATTCATAAAATCTTTCTTGTTATTTAATTAGTAGAGTACTAAGTTTTATAAGCTTTGTTTACAAACATATATTAGGGATTTTAAAGCAAACTGGCACCACATTGTTTATGCTTCATTTTGCAAGCTTTCTTGCTGGTCCACTGAACGTATGAATGATAATGTCAGAAAACAAAACTGTTTTTAATCGAGTTTTGGCTGGATTTTAAATTATATCTTAACCTATAATCATGATTTCTTCATTCTGAACAATGAAACATGAATTGCATATTCTGTTCACTCATATGAACAAATACCATAGCGGGGCGATTCCTCATTGTACAAGGAAGGAGCCTAGATAAAATGAACTCCTAAGACCTTTTCAACTCTCTAGTTCACATTTTAAAAATCTGAAATTATTCTAATATAATTCTTAAAAGCTGCTAAACAAATATGCCGTATAAGAAATCTTGTTTCCAAGAACAAACTTTAAGCTCCAGGAGAGCAGGGACCATGTATCCAGCTCACTGCTGCATCACCAGTGCCTCACAGAGGGCCTCACATTTTTGGTGCTCAATGACTGCTTGTCGGGTGAAGGAAATGAAAGCAGTATGGGTTCTCAATTTCCCACGCCATGTCACGGTGCCAGATTGGACACTGTGTTTTCCTTCTGTAACCTCAATAGGATGCAGTCATGTTATCTCATAAAGATGTTGACAAATATCATCATCCTACGAATATCTGGCTGAAAGAATAGTATGGAGAAAAGGGTGCTTTCCTAATTATGATGACCTGCAATGATCTGCTATTAACAACAATGAAAAGTAAAACTTCCCCATCTTTTATGCAGATTCATAACATATTATCAAAATGTCTAAAAGATAAAAGTTAAAACTCAACTGCCAGCTCTAAAAATAACAAAGTTTGAAAAGTGGTTTTTGGAAATCACATGATGCACAAAAGTTCATGTAAAAAAAATTAAAGATACAGATACTCAGCATTGAGTGACTCTCTGACTGTCTTAACAGTATACACAGATGAGACCAAGATTCCTATTCTGTCTCCCTCTGTTAAGGGCTGTAAAACTCAAGTGGGCTGACTTCAAGCTTCTCTGAACTTTGTAGGCAGCCAATATAAAAAACGCTGAGAAGGCGTAATCTGATCATAGCCGCTCAGGCAAGTGAGCAGGCGTGCTGCCACATTCTGCTGCCCACAAGCAGGGAAGCACGGCTGGAATCCCCACTAAGATCAAATTACAAAATAATCAAGCTTTGTGGCCAGGCAGGCACGAGAGGCTATTGTGAGGTCATGAGATACATCAGGGACTAGCCTGGACAAAACTGGGCAGTCAAAAATAACATTTTTGTATCCCACTTGCAGCATGGTTCTCTGCAAAAATAAACTGTTAATGATGTTCAGTTTTTTAATTCAGGAAAGGGCAAATGGCTCTCCCTGCGCAAGCTCCCACCAATTGAGCCTTATGCTTAGGGATAAGCAATTAAACCCTACACATCAAAGAAAAACTGAGCTGTCCAAAATGGAATTTAGCCAAGGAGAGACCAAACTGGGCCTTGGTCCCTGTCCTGGGGATCTCAGTGCTACTTCTACCTCTTACCCACTGTGTAGCCGAATGTTTATGTATATCAAAATAACAACAGAACAACTGAGTGGATACTGAGTGAGCATGATCGCAAAGCACATTGAAAATGCTTAAAAGACCCAAATGTGTTTTGAGAGGGTAGCACATCTTGGGTCAAGAGAGCCATTCCTAGAAATAATCCCATTATGCAAAAAAAGCAGCATATTCTTTGGGAAATTCACTGATAAGGGATGGCTCTAATATGGCACCAAATCCCAGACAATACTGTTTGTTATACAGAGAAGTGTTAACTTTTTTATATGGTTCCCAAAGCTGAACCTACTATAGAAATCGCATTTTAGTTCCTGAGAAGCTTCAACATGACTGTCTGTATCGTATCAAATGTAAAAGACAACAAAATTATAGAATTCAGTTATCCTTCCATCAGAAGAGATATATAAAATTCCAAGTGAAGATTTCTTAGGAAAATAGCAGGACACCTAAGGAACTACTGTTTGGTAAACTCTTGCTGGGGCAATCATAATCAAGGTGGGCAGAAGAAATATTTCAAAGACAACAAATAAACAAGCAAAAATCTAAATGTGGCCGAGTGCGGTGGCTCACGCCTGTAATCCCAGCACTCTGGGAGCCCGAGGTGGGTGGATCACTTGAGGTCAGGAGTTTAAGGCCAGTTTGGCCAACATGGTGAAACCCCGTCTTTATTAAAAATACAAAAATTAGCTGGGTGTGGTGGCAGGCGCCTGTAATCCCAGCTACTAGGGAGGCTGAGGCAGGAGAATCGCTTGAACCCAGAAGGCGGAGGTTGCAGTGAGCAGAGAGCGGGCCATTACACTCCAGCCTGGGTAACAGAGCAAGACTTCGTCTAAAAAAAAAAAAAGCAATATAACTGAGGTTTTTTCTAAACAAAAGTAATGAGCATACTAACAAGTTAATGGCAAGCCATTTTGTAAATATTACCAACAGGGACTTCAAAGAAACACTTTGAGATGGTCCCATGTGAACTGAGGATTGTGTGTTGGTTTTCACTTGTTTCCTGATACACAGATGAATTACCATCGGCAATGTTTTTCTTAGACATAAAAACCATATACCTATTTGCACACTACAAATTCAAAGAGTGCTTTTAACGTAAAAAGTGGAATATAAGTGACTATGAAGTTCATAACAATTTCTAAAAAATGAAAATAAAAGCATAAAGTAGTTGCTTTCTTTAGATAGGGAATCTTATAAGAGATATGAAATTCAACATCTACTGTACTTTAAGCCTATATCTTATTGATAATTTAAAATTATAATTAGTGTTCTTGGGACTGAATGCTACATAGAAAACTAAATATGCACATATGTATGAGATGTGAGATGCTGCTGCAGGAGAGAAATACCCTATTTTTAAAGCAAAAAAAAAAAATCTTAGTGAAGTCTATCCTTTCATTTATATGTCTCATGTAAATTACACATAATTTTAAATCTTCAACACGTCGAAAATGTCCAGGTCTCATGGCACTTCTTTATTATCTTCGATTTTTCACTTGGCCATGGCAATGGAGGCTTTCTAGAAATATTTAGGAATTAAAAATGATATACTTCAAATTGAACTAAGAAATGACCACTAGACAAAAATTAATTTTTATTTATATAATCTGGTTAAAAAATATATGATTTTTCTACTCTAAAGGCATTTTCTTATGCAGTAACACCACAAAAATAGCTTAAGTTTAAAATAGTGGATTTCCCATATGGTTAGTCCACAGCAAGATAAAGTTGTAAATGAGGGGACTATGTGAAGAAAACATAAAAAAGCCTTAAGGGCACATGCAAAAAATGTGATATTGCATGATTTACATACACAATTTTATGCCCCAAAATTCAAAGAGAAAAACTTAATATGTCATAACTTAAACTGTATTTCATATAAAGTATTCCTGATTACGTATTTAACTCAAAGATACATAACTCAATTTAGAGCATAATGTGGGAGAGGAGTTAGTAAGAATCTAACCTTTTGCATTTCTTGACTTTTTTGGGCTTGTGGTAATGTTGTATTTATAGAGATTCTACACTTTCAAATTTAAGTCTTGAAATGTCAAAAAAAATCCCAAAGCTGAGATCTCACAGAAGGTGATTTTTAACAGTCCTTAAAAGTAAAGACTTATGATCTTCTGACAACTGGAGCTTTCACATTTTAAGATTTAAAAATTTCAGTCCTAATATTACATAAGCATACACATCGACACACTTTCAAAGATTCCATCATCTTTGATAGGCCTGGAACGAAGAGGAAAATAAGAAAACAAAAAGTTGTGAGGTTCAGGAATACTGTTTAAGTATAAATATAAAGAAGTAAATACTTAAAAACTCTTGTGTATTTAAAGGTGGTCTCTTATAAGAATATATTTCCAATGTAAATCACAACATCTAGTTAATTTTTGATTATTTGTCATAATAAAAAATGGAGATTCCCCCAATATTTTAGAGTTATAACTAGAAGAAACAGAGTCTCAGAGAACTTAAGTGATTTGATCAAGATCATAATTGCTAGTTAGTTTTAGAGTTATGTCTGGAATATACCAAGTATCTTGTCTTCAAGTTTCTCCTCACTCTCATAGCTAAAATTTTCAACATAATTCTTGGAATTCATTTATTTTCAATGTATCCTGCTATCATCCATGTAATTACAGGTATGCCACAAACTGTTTAGTTTTCTCATCACTTTCAAGTCAACAAGTATTTTTCTACCACCTACTATCAGCCAGATTTAGAGATTACAATGATGGTAAGACAAAGGTTAATCTGATTATTGGGTATTTTATGGTCTCATGAGGGAAAGAGGATTGGCAAACAAGTATCATTAAAGGCACTACTTAATTTGACCAGAAAGGTGTCAAAGTCAAAGGTAACATTCGGTTTCTGATTACCAAGATTAAAGACAGGGTCTGGACTAAATGATGTCTCAGTACCTTTCTAATGAAGTTTTGAGTTTTATCTTTCCCTTTCTTCTATTGTTTCTTAGATAGATTTATAAATAAGTAGGTAATTGATAAGACCAAAATTTCCAGTAATTTCAGTGGAACACAGTGATATGTTTATGAATAGGTACACAATGAACAAAGCCTTTTATCTGCAAATAAGTTTGTGAAATTATGGATTTCTCTGGCACAGGCCTTTAATGTGTTAATGTGTAGTGTATCTCCAAGAAGAAGATTTTATATGTAATGTTTCCTTTTTTTTCCAGTCAAGAAAAAAAAATCCCCCAAATAGGTGCTTTTATTACTATTTTGAGCTCTCAGAATTACTATTCCCAGTTGTATAGTTTGGGAAACACGAGCTCCAGACTGTTGTAATATTCTAACTGGTCTTCTGAAACAACGCGTCCTACACATGCACTGGCAAGATAATCCCCCTAAAGAGTTGCTTTCATCAAATTTCCCTGTTCCAAAACCTCCAGTGACTCTATGTGGCCTATAAATTAAACTTAAAACTCTTTAGACTCTCTAGAGATACTGCTTGTAAATTTCTCTGTAACTTTTTCTCTCACAGTTTCCTTAAACTCCAGTCACAATGCTGCTGAGTTTACTGTCGTCTGCCTTAGTTCCCACCCACTACTTTTCTGTGCCTAGAATGCCTTCCCCTCTCCACAAAATTACCAGTTACTTCTCTGATAAAACCCAGTTTGGGCTCTATCTTCTCAACAAATTAGCACAGTATGCAAACTCTAAGCTACCTGAACCACATTTTGTAAAATTGTTATCTTTTTTATTGCTATTTTTCTTTTAAGTATATATTTTCTGCCCCTTGTGGCTACATTGCATAAGTTCACCGAGGCCAGGCACAAGCCTCGCATTCCAGAATTTAGAATATTCTTTTGTACTTAATAGTGTCATTTTAAATGATGACAATGACAAGACTACTGATGACAAAGTAAAAATAAGAAGAAAAGAGAGGAATCTAAACCAGGAGTCCAAATGGTCATTTACAAACCAAATACAGAGTGGTTTACAAAAATATTAACTAATTTTTCCAAATGTCAAATGGTAACTGCTCAGGCAAGAGCTTTCAATTTTGATTTCTGACATATCCTAAATGTAGAATATAAGTGAAATATTTGGTAAATATTGAAATTCCATTATTTAATGTTTTCTTCATTTAAATTCTCTTAAGTGGCTTCAGCTTATTTCACATAAAGAAATAGCTTTAATTCAAAATGAGATTTTTATCCCAATGCAGAAGGTTTAAATTAGGAGGATGATTCAGTAACAAATACTCTAAAATATTACCTGTTATAATTAATAAATTTGGCAAAACATCAAAGTACTAAATAGTTTGTCCCTTAATTTTAGGATACAGTCTAACTTAAAAAAAAAAAAAAAAAACATTTCTCACAAGCCATTTGATCTTGCCCACTGGAAAAAATGTGTGTGGCTTACTAATATTTGTCATTGCAATATTAGTCCTGAAATTTGGATAAAATTTAACTTCAGATAACACAAGGTCTTGGTGACTTCCCACCTTGTAAAAAGTCCCAGTTTTTAGATATAAAATTTCCCTGAATTTCTCTTTTTCTAGTAACTGAAAGAAAGGAACAGCTCTTGAATAAATTTTGATTAGGCAAAAAGTTTTTTTTTTTTTTTTACTTTATTAAAATACTGAGTTTTATTTCACATGTATATTTTTGTCTCCCCACCATTTCCATGTCTGACCACCGCTAGTACTATGTCCTATCATAACATTCCATACATACTTAAAACCAAGCAAAGGGTGGAGTTGATCTTTAAAAACTAAACAGGCATTTTGGACAACACATTCTTGGCAATAGAACCTGGACAACATTTATCAAACACGGTAGAGAAAGTTCTCACTCTGCATTATAAAAAGGACAGCCAGATATCAACTGTTAACAGAAATGAAATAAGACGGAAAATTTTTAACAAATTGTTTAAACTATTTTCTTAAAGAGACTTCCTCCACTGCCAGAGATCTTGAATAGCCTCTTGGTTAGTCATCCGGAAGCAATTCTTCACATAATTGATGAATTTGGCTTCCACTTTGGGAAGAGAACCACCTTTTTCTATACTTGCTTGCATTTTTGCTTTAATGTCTTCTACAGAACTAGGTCCTTTTGGTGTTTTAGGAGTTTTTTCCTGTTTTTTGAAGGATTCTTGTCCTTTTGATCTTGGTGTTGATGGTTTTGAGTCTTTTCCATTCTGATTTGACTTTTGTGCATTTTTGGCTGGAGTATCTCGTATAGATTTCTTCACTGGCGCTTTTTCTTCAGCTTCCTCATCATCAAAATCATCATCATCATCATCTTCATCATCATCCTCTTCATCATCATCGTCATCATCTTCATCAGCAGCAAGTTTTACTTTTTTCTGTGGAACCTTGCTACCACCTCCAGGGGCAGACCGCTTTCCAGATATACTTCAGAGTTTCACATCCTCCTCCTCTTCATCTTCTGACTCTGCATCTTCCTCCACAGCTACTAAGTGCTGTCCACTAATATGCACTGGCCCTGAACCACACTTCAACCTTAAGACCACTGGTGGTGTTATTTCAAAGCCCCCAAGGGAAACTGTTGGCTGTACAGACATTTTCAAAGTTGCCAGTGTTACTTTAATTGGACTGCCTTCGTAATTCATGGCCTCTGCTTCAACAATGTGCAGTTCATCCTTTGCACCAGCCCTAAACTGGCCGTTCTTAAGGATAACTGGCGCTCATTTTCATCATTATCCACCTTAAAGTGATCATCTTTGTCGGCCTTTAGTTCACAACCGAAAAGATAGTTCTGGGGCCTCAGGGGGCTCATGTCCATGTCCATCGAATCTTCCATCGGGTGGCGGCACGCACTTAGGTAGGAGAGAAGGCGGACGGAGATAAAACAACGCTGCTGCAGAGAACAGCCGCGCAGGACGGAATCACACCAGGCAAAAAGTTTTTTTTTTAAAGATATATATTTTGAACCAGAGATGAAAATGAATTCTTTTTAAGATGTAAAAATAACATTACCCTTTCTGAATATACAGTATGTATTTTTAAAGAAACTGTATTATATTTCAATAGTTTAGTAATTCTTGTCAATGTTATTAATTACTTTAATTATGTCTAGTACTTGCATTAATACGTGCATACTTTCTCCCTTTTTACAAAACCTCTATTAGAGGCTCTGGAAGGTGTAAGCCATGATAGCAATGACCGTGTCAAACTCTTTTTCTCTGTAACTCAGGGCCTAGGACTGTGCCTGGCACATAGCAGACACTTGATACATATTTGTTAAATAAATGGGTAGCTGGAACATATGCTCCATGAGGAAAATGAATGTATTTGCATGTTGTTAGTTAGGAATCTGGCCCTGGGAGTCAGAATTGCAGTGTTTGAGTCAGGCTGCATTATTTCCTAGCTGTGAGAGCTCTCTAAATCTATTCCCTCACTTGCAAAGTGGAATGATATTAGAATCTGACTCATATTGTTACGTGAGGATTAATCGACATAAATACCTGACACATGGGTAGCACTCAATACAGGCTAGCTGTTATTATCATTATCAACATCATCACTATCTTCTTCATTTTTCTTGTTTACTACTTATCTCCTGTTTTAAGCACATAACATATGCTCAATAAAAATTTGTTAAATAGAGAAATGAATCAATGAAGTGTAGCTTACCTGTATACACAAATATGTTTTGCTACCCTCAGTATACATTTTGTCAGGATTCAGACAAATAGTAAAAAATTTTAAAGCACAACTTAAAGTTAGTGTGATTGAGTTTTATTTATTTGAATCTGTTTTTAAGAGATCCAGTCACACAGTCCCTTGGAGAATAGAGTTCTTTTTATTTCCTTTTTGAATTTCTGGTATATGTAACACAGATGTTTGCATCATTTGTACTAAAAAACATCCTAGTTAGCAACCAAGTCACATAGGTAAAAATTAAAACAAATGACCACAGACTAAAGAGGGGGTAAACAGTGCCACTCTCATGATATTTAACTACTTTATCTTAACAAACCAGTTTGTAGCATTTATATTTGTTACAATATTGCTGTACGTTGAAGTGTTATAGTGAGGATCATTGCTTTTACACCTTCTAATTTAAAACTTCAGTTGAAATTGTGCAAGTAGCAACTAAAGAGTTATATTTCTGTAAAGTGCCTCATTGTGAGCAGACAACAGAAATAAGTCTCAGGTCATATGGCTCTGAGGTATTTAATTCATCAATGACTTACATCCTTTTAGATCTCATGTTTGTAATATTTCTCATCAGAAATGTCCTATATTAAAGAGTACTGATATGTTTTCTAATTTATTTTGAGCTTCACTCTGCAAAGATGCTATCAGATTATAAAATAGCCTGGTTATATTTAAGGCTTATATTAGTTTTTTTAAATTTATAAAATCAATGTAAACTTTAGCAGCAAAGAATTTAGGTTTTCTCTTTTTAAAGACAACATAAGTAATGAATAATTAATTTGAGTGGGTGAAGAAAGGAAGGATAAAAGACTCTGATAATAATCTTAAATTCCTCCATTTACTTGTTTACATTCTTTGTACAATTATTTTCCATTTCCACTGTATTTTCCAGACTGAAAAAAAGTTAAAAATCTTATAAAATATTCACAAGCCCTTCCTCTTCCCCATGACATTTCCCACCAATGTACTGAAAAAAAGAACTGCAAGTTCTAAAAGCTGATTCTCTAAGTGAGTGGTTCTAAAAAATCTTAGCTGTTAGTTTGTTCACTACAAAATAACCAGAGGGTGCTTAAGCCTCACCCAGGATTTACTGCTTCTCATGTCTTGGTGACTGAATGGACACATGTGTCAAGGTGAGAGGAAACAGAACTAACCAGTATTTGCTCATCTATCTAATCCAACTTCTTTCTATTTTCTTCTCTCCTTCCTTGCCTCTTTCTACTTTCCCAGGCCTTGAGTATGGGCTTCTTATATGTATTCCCAACCCTTCTGGGGTTCTAGAAACAAGTTCATGTTGAAGCTGCCTGGTCATTTATTCTGGACCAAGGCTGCCAAAATTCCAAATCTTAACTTGAAAGAAATACTAAACAAATACCAATTTTAAAGCATATATAAATCATCTCCCTCTAATATAATAAAGGCAAAAATGTACTGACTATGTGTTAGGCATCAGCTAAGTGCTTTACATATATTATTAGCTGCTATCACATATTAAAAAAGAACCCAAACACAAATATTTTTCCAGAAGCAAGTGGAGGTGGGGAGGGTGGTATTATTCTGATTCTGACTTCATTCACATTTTTTGATAAACTGACTTTTTATTCTTTAGTAACTGGGGATGAGTCTCTCAAAAATAAATAAAGGTTGACAAAGGTGTTGGTGAAAGAAGTCTCAGATATTCAAAAGATGCTTCTTTCTACTCAAGTCCAACTGTAATCCTGGGAGTCTTCAACATTCCCATGAATAACCTATCCAAGGGTCTGACTGCTAGATTCCTTGATCTACAATGCCCCTTTCTTCCAGTCTATTTCACCTGCCTGTTCTTGACATTTTACTCTGGACATTGCAGCATTCTTTTGAAACAATAAATTTAGACATTCCCCCAATTTGACCACAACCTCCTATCTTTTTAACCATCTTACTAAAATAATTCCCTTTCTTACCTTAAAAAAAATCTTTACGGCTTCCAGTCCATTTATCCTTTCCTTTCTTCCTATTAGCCCTTGTTTTGTTTTCACTTCTCAACCTTTGCTGGAAGATCATGGTCCAACATTTCATTGTGTTTTCCTAATCTGCTAGGCCCCACTGTCCATTTAAGGTACTTGCCTGAAACACTCCAAGGTTGGATAAACCCAGCTGACTGGCTTGTCCCTGGCTAACAGATTGTTGCTCCTACAAACAAATCATCATCAACCACAACTCAGCCCTCAACATTGTTCAGCCATTGTACTACGTAATTCTAGACAACTCTCCAAATGTTATCATTTAAAAGTTAAAAAAAAATCATAAAGGCACTAAAAGAAAATAAAAGAGAACATATGCATAATTGTGGGGAGGGACTTATGGCATGACAATAAGAGTGGAAACTAAAAAAAAACTGCATTTTTGGCTACATAAAAACGAAAAACGTTGGCTTAGAAAAAAACCTTAACAAACTCCATAAGCAAAGCAAAAAGATAAAAAGGCAACTAGGCAAAAATGTACCACATACAATAAGGACTATTATCCATCATATATAAAGAACTCCTACTAATCAATAAAGAATTGACAAAGACTCAATTGACAAGAAAGACCTGGTAATGTATGAGATAAATATAAATGGTCAATAATTAATAAAAATATGCTCAACCTCACTGCTTACCAAATAAATACAAATTTAATTGATTTTTTGCAGAATAACAAAGATTAAAATAACACTTAAGACATAAATGTAAACTTGTATAACTATTTTGCAGAACAATTTGGCTATAATTTTCCAAACTAAATACATGTTTACCTTTTGACCTAGAAATTTCACTTTTTGAAATTTATTTTACAGAAACACTAGCAAAAATGTACAAAGATACTTACTTCAAAACTGTTAATATTAGCCAAAAAAGGAAGAAAAATGAGTAACTTTCAATAGATACTGTCCAATGGTGGCATAGTCAATTAATTAAATGCAATATGGTTGCTAAAAAGAAGAAAGTTGTATCTACATACTACTACATGAAAAATATCCAAACTAAAATAGGCAATATGTACATTTTTTTGGTAAATAGAACGTATTATTTTTATAATTGGAAAAAAGCAATAAAAGGAAAATCAAGTTATAGGACAATGTGCATATGAGTCTGTTTATTTGGAAGTCTGTGCACACTGCTATTAATAGAAACAGATTATTTCTCAGGGGTGGTATGCTTAGGGAATTTAATTTCATCACTTGAATTTTTTTTAGAATGGCCATTTTAAAATAAAAAATGTAGATATTTTTATTTGTAAAACGAAGCCTAACTTACATTCTTCACTTTTTAAACCTCAGATTGCAATCTTCCCTTTTCTTTCTTCACCTGGTCTCCTACTTCCAGGCAAAACCAAAATTTATCAGAATGGAATTCTTTAACTTTTCTTTTCTATTCTTTTTTTTTTTTCTTTGAGATAGAGTCTTGCTCTGTCACCCAGGCTGGAGTGCAGTGGCATGATCTTGGCTCACTGAAACCTCCATCTCCTGGGTTCAAGTGATTCTCCTGCCTCAGCCTCCCAAGTAGCTGGGAATACAGGCGTGCGCCACCATACCTGGCTAATTTTTGTATTTTTAGTAGAGACAGGGTTTCACCATGTTGGCCAGGCTGGTCTCAAACCTCTGACCTTAGGTGATCCACCTGCCTCGGCCTCCTAAAGTGCTGGGATTACAGGCGTAAGCCACCGCGCCTGGCCATTCTTTAACTTTTCACTACCAAATCTGAAGACCTGTCAGCATTAGGCTCGTGCTCCTTCTTTCTAAAGGCAAATTTTCTCCCAAATTAAGCTCTCAATCAAATCCTGCCTTATCTTCAAACGCATTTCCATTCTATAGCCTAATTATCTGCATCTTCACATTCGGACTAGCTATTTATACAATTTATAATCATTCAGGTCTCTTTCATCTTAAACAAATAAACTAAAACCTCTGTTGATTCCTCCTTTTCTTCCAGTTGTTTCAAAAGTTTTCCTTTCTCCTTCATAGTCATTTCCTTTTCTTTTTAAAAAATTGTGTTTATTTATATAATAATCTCTCTCCCGAGCCTCAGCCAATATATTTAATAGTTTAGTGTCCATTTCTACTTGGAGGTTTTGCAGGCACCTCAAACTCAGCATGCCAAAACTGAACTCATCATTCTCCTAAAAATATTTTCTCTGTTAATGAGAGGCATCCACACAATTGCCCAAACCAAAAGCCTGGACACCAAACTGATGCTTCTGCCCTATTACCCATGAAAGCTGATCAATATTCAGGACCCACTGAGTTTCCTAAATAGCTCTCACATCAAATGATTTTTTCCATCTCCACTGCCTCATCCAGGTCATCATGATTTAACCAGCCTTGCTTTTAGTCCTGTAACTCTCTTAATCCATTACCCTTATCACAGCTAGACTGTTCACTGAAAAATTCAAATCTAATCATATTATATTCCCTTTCTTAGAATCCCTTTTCCAAGTTTTTACAAGGCTGAGAAAGCTCTCCATGACCTGGCTCCTGCTTATTTCTCTAGGGTTATTTCTTTTTATTGTCCTACCCTCATACTCTATTCTCCAGCAATACCGGACTTTTTTTCGGTTGTCAAATGTACCACATATTCTCTTGCCTTTGCTTGGAACTCAAAACAATTTCTGTGCCACCACCCTCATCCCCTACACATAATTTTACTCTCACTGACCTGGAATGGCTAACTTACATTTTTTGGGCCTTTACTTTTCAAGAGCAGGGGCTGTACTTGTTGTGAAGGTTGTGTCCTTAGCACCTAGTATAGAACCTGGCACATGGCAAGTGCTGAGTGGCTGAATATAAGTGAAGGGTATTATATAAAAAACTGGCATTAAAAGGGCTGATGAATTGTTAAAAGTTTTACTGCCATCACCAGACTAGGCCAAGTTAGTTTCCCATACTGCTAAGACGCAGCATTCTCCTACAGATCTGACCGCATAACTGAGGAAGATATTTATCTGGAGTCAAGCCAGTCCTTAGACTCACCTTTTGCTCTTTTCTTTTACCTTCAAATCCAGCAGAAATGGGTCAGAAATGTGGATATGTGGCAGATATTCAAAATTATTTGTCTAGAAACAAAATTAAAAGTTTCACCCTAGAAAACTTGTTTTCTCTCTTTTTTTTTTTTGAGACGGAGTTTCGCTCTTGTTGTCCGGGCTGGAGTGTAATGGTGCAATCTCAGCTCACCACAACTTCTGCCTCCTGGGTTCAAGTGATTCTCCCAGTGAGATCAATGCAGAAGGTGGGCGATTTCTGCATTTCCAACTTTGGTACCCAGCTTATCTCACTGGAACTGGTTAGACAGTGGGTGCAGCCTATGGAGGGTGAGCCGAAGTCAGGTGGGGCATCTCATCTGGGAAGCCCAAGGGGTTGAAGAACTCCCTCCCCTAGCCAAGGGAAGCCATGAGGGACTGTGTTGTGAGGAATGGTGCATTCCGGCCCAGATACTACACTTTTCCCATGGTCTTCACAACCTGCAGACCAGGAGATTCCCTAGAGTGCCTATGCCACCAGGGCCTAAGTTCCAAGCACAAAACTGGGCGGCTGTTTGGGCAGACAACGAGCTAGCTGCAGGAGTTTCTTTTCATACCCCAGTGGCACCTGGAATGCCAGTGAGACAAAACCGTTCAATCCCCTGGAAAAGGGGCTGAAGCCAGGGAGCCAAGTGGTCTAGCTCAGTGGATCCCACCCCCATGGAGCCCAGCAAGCTAAGATCCATTGGCTTGAAATTCTCACTGCTAGCAGAGCAGTATGAAGTTGACCTGGGATGCTCCAGCTTGGTGGGGGGAAGGGTGTCCGCCATTACTGAGGCTTGAGTAGGCAGTTCTCCCTTCACAGGATTAACAAAGATGCCGGGAAGTTCAAACTGGGTGGAGACCACCACAGCTTAGCAAAGCTGAGGTAGCCAGACTGCCTCTCTAAATTCCTCCTCTCTGGGCAGGGCATCTCTGAAAGAAAGGCAGCAGCCCCAGTCAGGGGCTTATAGATCAAACTCCCATCTCCCTGGGACATAGCACCTGGGGGAAGGGGTGGCTGTGGGTGCAGCTTCAGCAGAATTAAATGTTCCTGCCTGCTGGCTCTGAAGAGAGCAGCAGATCTCCCAGCACAGCACTTGAGCTCTGCTAAGGGACAGACTACCTCCTCAAGTGAGTCCCTGACCCTGTGCCTCCTGACTGGGAGCATCTCCCAGCAGGGGTTGATAGACACCTCATACAGGAGAGCTCCGGCTGGCATATGGTGGGATGAAGCTTCCAGAGGAAGGAACAGACAGCAATCCTTGCTGTTCTGCAGCCTCCGCTGGTGATACCCAGGCAAACAGGGTCTGGAGTGGACCTCCAGCAAACTCCAGCAGACCTGCAGCAGAGGGGCCTGTTAGAACAAACAGAAGAATAGCATAACATCCAAAAAAAGAACGACCACACAAAAACCCCTTCTGAAGGTCACCAACATCAAAGACCAAAGGTACATAAATCCATAAAGATGAGGAAAAACCAGTGCAAAAAGGCTGAAAATTCCAAAAATCAGAATGCCTCTCCTCCTCCAAATGATCACAACTCCTGGCCAGCAAGGGAACAAAACAGGATGGAGAATGACTTTGACAAATTGACAGAAGTAGGAGTCAGAAGATGGATAATAACAAACTCCTCTGAGCTATAGGAGCATGTTCTAGCTCAATGCAAGGAAGCTAAGAACCTTGAAAAAAGGTTAGAGGAATTGCTAACTAGAATAAACAGTTTAGAGAAGAACATAAATGGCCTGATGGAGCTCAAAAGCACAGCACAAGAACTTCGTGAAGCATATACAAGTATTAACAGCCAAATTGATCAAGCAGAAGGAAGGATATCAGGGATTGAACATCAACTTAACGAAATAAAGCATGAAGACAAGATTAGAGAAAAAAGAATGAAAAGGAACAAACAAAGCCTCCAAGAAATATGGGACTATGTGAAAAGACCAAACCTGCGTTTGACTGGTGTACCTGAAAGTGACGGGGAGAATGGAACCGAGTTGGAAAACACTCTTCAGGATATTATCCAGGAGAAATTCCCCAACTAGCAAGACAGGCCAACATTCAAATTCAGGAAATACAGAGAACACCACCAAGATACTCCTCGAGAAGAGCAACCCCAAGACACATAATTGTCAGATTCACCAAGATTGAAATAAAGGAAAAAATGTTAAGGTAGCCAGAGAGAAAGATCAGATTACCCATAAAGGGAAGCCCATCAGAGTAACAGTGAATCTCTCTGCAGAACCCTACAAGCCAGAAGACTGTGGGGGCCAATATTCAACACTCTTAAATGAAAGAATTTTCAACCCAGAATTTCATACCGAGCCAAACTAAGCTTCATAAGCGAAGAAGAAATAAAATCCCTTACAGATAAGCAAATGCTAAGAGATTTTGTCACCACCAGGCCTACCTTACAAGAGCTCCTGAAGGAAGCACTAAATATGGAAAGGAAAAACTGGTACCTACCACTGCAAAAACATACCAAATTGTAAAGACCATCGACACTATAAAGAAACTGCATTAACTAACGGGCAAAATAACCAGCTAGCCATCATAATGACAGGCTCAAATTCACACATAACAAGGTTAACCTTAAATGTAAATGGGTTAAAAGCCACAATTAAAAGACACAGACTTGCAAATTGGATAAAGAGTCAAGACCCATTAGTGGGCTGTATTCGGGAGACCCATCTCACGTGCAAAGTCACACATAGGCTCAAAATAAAACAATGGAGGGATATTTACCAAGAAAACAAAAACAAAAACAAAACAAAACAAGCAAACAAAAAAGCAGGGGTTGCAATCCTAGTCTCTGATAAAACAGACTTTAAACCAACAAAGATCAAAAGAGACAAAAAAGGGCATTACATAATAGTAAAGGGATCAATGCAAAAAGAAGAGCTAACTATCCTAAATATATATGCACTCAATATAGGAGTACCCAGATTCATAAAGCAAGTTCTTAGAGCCCTACAAAGAGACTTAGAATCCCACACAATAATACTGGGAGACTTTAACACCTCACTGTCAATATTAGATAGATCAACAAGACAGAAAATTAACAAGGATATTCAGGACGTGAACTCAGCTCTGGACTAAGCAGACCTAATAGACATCTACAGAAAGAATTCTCCACTCCAAATCAATAGAATATACATTCTTCTCAGCACCACATCATACTTATTCTAAAACTGACCATATAATTGGAAGTAAAACACTCCTTGGCAAATGCAAAAGAATGGAAATCATAACGAACACTCTCTCAGACCACAGTGCAATCAAATTAGAACTCAGGATTAAGAAACTCACTCAAAACCGCACAACTACATGGAAACTGAACAACCTGCTCCTGAATGACTATTGGGTAAATAACAAAATTAAGGCAGAAATAAATACATTCTTTGAAACCAATGAGAACAAAGACACAATGTACCAGAATCTCTGGGACACAGTGAAAGCAGTGTTTAGAGGGAAATTTATAGCACTAAATGCCCACAAGAGAAAGCAGGAAAGATTTAAACTCGACACCCTAACATCACAATTAAAAGAACTAGAGAAGCAAGAGCAAACAAATTCAAAAGCTACCAGAAGACAAGAAATAACTAAGATCAGAGCAGAACTGAAGGAGACAGAGACATGAAAAACCCTTCAAAAAAATCAATGAATCCAGGAGCTGGTTTTTTGAAAAGATCAACAAAATAAATAGACTGCTAGCCAGATTAACAAAGAAGAGAAGTATAAAGAATCAAATAGATGCAAGAAAAAATGATAAAGGGGATATCACCACTGATTTCACAGAAATACAAACTACCACCAGAGAATACTATAAACACCTCTACACAAATAACCTAGAAAATATAGAAGAAATGGATAGATTCCTGGACACTTACACCCTCCCAAGTCTAAACCAGGAAGAAGTCAAATCCCTGAATAGATAAATAACAAGTTCTGAAATTGAGGCAGTAATTAATAGCCTACCAACCAAAAAAAAAAGTCCAGGACCAGATGGATTCACAGCTGAATTCTAGCAGAAGTACAAAGAGGAGCTGGTACCATTCCTTCTGAAACTATTCGAAACAGTAGAAAAAGAGGGAATCCTCCCTAACTCATTTTATGAGGCCAGCATCATCCTGAGACACAACACAGAAAAGAAAACTTCAGGCCAATGTCTCTCATGAACATCGATGCGAAAATCTTCAATAAAATACTGGCAAACCAAACCCAGCAGCACATCAAAAAGCTTATCCACCACGATGTAGTCTGCTTCATCCCTGGGATGTAAGGCTGGTTCAATAGACGCAAATCAATAAACATAATACATCACATAAACAGAACCAATGAAAAAAAACCACATGATTATCTCAATAGATGCAGAAAAGGCCTTCGACAAAATTCAACACCCCTTCATGCTAAAAACTCTAAAAAAATTAGGCACTGATGGAATGTATCTCAAAATAATAAGAGCTATTTATGACAAACAGCCAATACGATACTGAATGTGCAAAACTTGGAAGCATTCCCTTTGAAAACCGCCACAAGACAAGGATGCCCTCTCTCACAACTCCTATTCAACACAGTATTGGAAGTTCTGGCCAGGGAGATCAGGCAAGAGAAAGAAATAAAGGTATTCAAATAGGAAGAGAGGAAGTCAAATTGTCTCTGTTTGCAGATGTCATGATTGTACATTTAGAAAACCCCATCGTTTCAGCCCCGAATCCCCTTAAGCTGATAAGCAACTTCAGCAAAGTCTCAGGATACAAGATCAATGTGCAAAAATCACAAGCATTCCTATACACCAATAATAGACAAACAAAGAGCCAAACCATGAGTGAATTCCCATTCACAATTGCAACTAAGAGAATAAAATACCTAGGAATACAACTGACAAGAGATGTGAAGGACCTCTTCAAGGAGAACTACAAACCACTGCTCAAGGAAATAGGAGAGGACACAAACAAATGGAAAAACATTTCATGCTCATGGATAGGAAAAATCAATATGGTGAAAATGGTGATACTGCCCAAAGTAATTTATAGATTCAATGCTATCCCCATCAAGCTATCACTGACTTTCTTCACATAATTAGAAAAAGCTACTTTAAATTTCATATGGAACCAAAAAAGAGCTCACATAGCCAAGACAATCCTAAGCACAAAGAAAAAAGCTGGAGGCATCACGCTACCTGATTTCAAACTATACTATAAGGCTACAGTAACCAAAACAGCACGGTACTGGTACCAAAACAGATATATTGACCAATGGAACAGAACAGAGGCCTCAGAAATAACACCACACATCTATAACCATCTGATCTTTGACAAAAATGACACAAACAAGCAACTGGGAAAGGATACCCTATTTAATAAATGGTATTGGGAAAACTGGCTAGCCATATGCAGAAAACTGAAACTGGACCCCTTCCTTACACCTTACACAAAAATTAACTCAAGATGGATTAAAGACTTAAACATAAGACCTAAATCCATAAAAATCCCAGAAGAAAACCTAGGCAATACCATTCAGGACACAGGCATGAACAAAGACTTCATGACTAAAACACCGAAAGCAATGGCAACAAAAGTCAAAATTGACAAATGGGATCTAATTAAACTAAAGAGCTTCTGCACAGCAATAGAAACTATCATCAGAGTGAACAGGCAACCTACAGAATGGGAGAAAATTTTTGCAATCTATCCATCTGAGAAAGGGCTAATATCCAGAATCTATAAAAACTTAAACAAATTTACAAGAAAAAAACCATCCCACCAAAAAGTGGGTGAAGGATATGAACAGACACTTCTCAAAAGAAGATATTTATGCAGCCAACAAACATATGGAAAAAAGCTCATCATAACTGGTCATTAGAGAAATGCAAATCAAAACTACAATGAGATACCATCTCATGCCAGTTAGAATGGCGATCATTAAAAAGTCAGGAAACAACAGATGCTGGAGAGGATGTAGAGAAATAGGAACACTTTTACACTGTTGGTGGGAGTGTAAATTAGTTCACCCATTGTGGAAGACAGTGTGGCAATTCCTCAAGGATCTAGAACCAGAAATACCATTTGACCCAGCAATCTCATTACTGGGTATATACCCAAAGGATTATAAATCATTCTACCAGAAAGACATATGCACATGTATGTTTACTGCAGCACTGTTCACAATAGCAAAGACCTGGATCCAACCCAAATGCCCATCAGTGACAGAGTGGATAAAGAAAATGTGGCACATATACACTATGGAATACTATGCATCCATAAAAAAGGATGAGTTCATGTCCTTTGCAGGGACATGGATGATGCTGAAAACCATAATTCTCAGGAAACTAACACAAGAACAGAAAACCAAACACTGCATGTTCTCACTTATAAGTGGGAGTTGAGCAATGAGAACACATGGACACAGGGAGAGGAACATCACACACCGGGGTCTGTCGGGGGGTGGGGGACTAGGGGAGGGAAAGCATTAGGAGAAATACTTAATGTAGATGACGGGTTGATGGGTGCAGCAAACCACCGTGGCACGTGTATACCTATGTAACAAACCTGCACGTTCTGCACATGTATCCCAGAATTTAAGGTATCTATAAAAAAACCCACAAACACAATGACAGCCTGTTCCCTGTCATCTCATTCACACTTATAACTTTTATTTTCTTCCTTCTCCATTCACATCAGTGATGCATCTGTCAACCTCCTTTTTTGCTATTACAAATGTTTATGTCACATGTCCTGTACTTTCAAGCCCTAGTTCATGCTGACAACCCTAGTTGAAATAGTCTTCTTCCCTTCTATGAATCTTCAAATCCTACCCATCTTTCAAGGTTCAGTTTAATGGATCTCTCCTTCTCAATCCCTGAACGTCTTATTGGATCTGATGATTAGATAGAATCCCATATTCTCCTAAATTTCTCTATTACTTAGATCAATAGCTCCTTTGCAATCCTCATCCCTCTCTCCTGGAAGTATTATATTAGAGCATGAATGGGGATGTTATTGATTCAATGTGTCACTCATTCTTGGTAATACTTAGATCTTACCATTGTCTTTGAGACTAATGTGGAGAATGCAGTAGTAAGAGATAGAAGTGTTTTTTTTGGTATGAGTCAAAAATACCACAATGCCTGCCACATTCATGGCTCTCCTCTCTTCACATTACTGTCTTTTTTAAAAAGGACAAGTGGCTGGATGCAGTGGCTCAAGCCTGTAATCCCAGCACTTCGGGAGGCGGAGGTGGGTGGATTGCCTGAGGTCGAGAGTTTGAGACCAGCCTGGCCAACATGGTGAAACCCTATCACTACTAAAAATACAAAAATTAGCCAAGCATGATGGTGGGTGCCTGTGATCCCAGCTACTCGGGAGGCTGAGGCAGGAGAATCGCTTGAATCTGGGAGGGAGGGGTTGCAGTGAGTCGAGATTGCACCACTGCATTCCAGCCTGGGTGACAAAGCGAGACTCCATCTCAAAAAAAAAAAAAAAAAAAAAGGTTGGCGGACAAGTTTAGTTAGATCTTCCCGTCGTAGTGAGAAAAATGATAATCCATCTCCCTATTAGCAAGTTTATTTAGTGTTTACTTATCTTCCCATCTGTTCTCTTCTCAAATCTTTTTTTTAATGAGATAGGTTCATCTCATCAGACCTAATAATTACTAGTTTTCTCTTCCCTTTGGGTTTTGACCCTTTCTATATCTCTCCCCTTTATGAATGCTTGGGAATTACATACAATATCTGGCTCTCTTGACCCATCCCTGTAACAATTGCTTGCCTTCTTTAAATTTTTTGTTTAAACATTCTTTCTTATTAACTCATTTTATGACATAATTAAATAGTTAAATAATCTTACAAACAGCAGACTGAATAAAAATCTCACCTCATATATGACACCAAGCCTTTACACTTTTAAAATATTTTGCCCCAATGCAATTCTTCTTTACTTCTTATATAATTTTCTTGTTTAATTTGTTTGTATGATGCCCGCATAATGAATTCAAACAACTAACCACCAAAGTGAAAGTTTAATCTTAATGAAAAAAATTTTTAACAAAAATAATGCAGGGAATTAATTTATAAATCACATTGTTTCTTACCGCTTCAGCACATCACATTTTCCCTGCTGTTACGAGCGCAATGTTGTGTTTTATGCTGTTAACATGTAAAAAATAAACTTTTTTATTGAAATAAAAACCTCTACTAAGCTGGTAGAATGAAACATATTTTAATATAGATATTTTAATTATTCTTAATTAAAGCCTTGCAGAGATCTTGTATTTGTGCTCTATGGAAAGTTCATAACATATTTAAAGAAGCAGTTTGCTTTAGGGTTTAACCCTTTTATAAAATGCCTCTAACACTAGAATCTTACATAACTTGAAAAATATAGTCTCAGACATATATTATTTTATTAAAAAAATGCAATACAGTCCCCAGAATAACCGTTGGAAGAATATTTTGGTAAGAGTGATTTTCAGAATTTGGAGGCTGGGTTAAAGGGCTCAGGGAGGTTGAAGTATGTACCTTTAGCAAGTAAAAAACTGTATATAATTGATCTCAAGACGGAGCCTGAAGTTTTTTGTTTCTAATTCTCTGTTGATTTTCCTTGAATAGTAATTTTGCTTTTGGTTATTTCCAAGTTGGCATTCCCAATGCATTACATTTATTAATTAATTCAACAAATATTTGTTAAAGTGCCTGTCTACCTTGTGCCAGGCACTGTTCCAGGTGCTAGGGATGTATAAGTGAGCCAAACTGACAAAGCTTACATTCTAGTGAGGAGAAGTTGAGGCCAACAAATCATAAATATAACAAATAACTAAAATATATACAGGGCTAGACTGCCATAAATGCCATATAAAAATGAAACAGAACAGAAGAAGGGATAGAAATGCAGTTTCAAATGAGGCAGTCAGGATAGGAAACACCGAGAAGGTGATATTTGAACAAAGATCCAAAGAAAATGAGGGGTGAGCCTGTGGTTATCTAAGGGTAGTTCATTCTAGGCAGAGGCCAATGCAAAGAAGTGGAAATAACTCATTGCATGTCAGCCTCTGCTAATACCAGGAAAGTAATTTAATCGAAGCAAAATTTTACAGATGAACACTCTAATATTTGTGATATTTCTTTTATTACATTTTATTTAACATTCATCCAATAAATATTTACTGAGTACAAACTATATGTTAGGCATTGAAGCAATAATGATTATAAGATAGACACACATTTTGTCCTCATGAAGCTTACAGTTTATTGTAGGTAGGAGAGGCAATAGATACTGCACAGTAACATATGCTATGGTGGGGGTCATGCAGGGTGCCATGGGGGCAGAGAATAGAAGCTCTTCCAGGTTACAGGAGATAGAATTTCAGAGATAAAACTCCTAGAAATTAAAGTCTTTCATTTCTGCTCCCAACAGCACAGTTATCAGAATAGACTGAATATAGAACCAAATAATAAATGCTGTACAACATCCTCACAACATCCTATGTAGTAAGCCCTACTCTTATCAGTTCTCAGGTGAAGGAATGGAAGTACAGAGAGAGTGGCAACTTGACAATAGATACAGAGATAGAAAAGTGGCACAGAAAGGAAACAAACTCAGGCAGTATAGCTTCAGAGCCTGTGCTTTTAACCACTATCTTAAACATACTCTCTGAGCAGCATGCATGTGTGATAATTTGTTAATGAATAAAGCCCTCTAGGTATTTTCTAGCTGCGTATAGGTAAGGCTTGGTACAGACTATCTGAATAGTTTGGTTCGCAAAAAAGTTTTTATCAGCATGACCTAGAATGTGGAAAGACTATTTTTGTCTAAAAATTAAAATCCAATCATCTTATTCGTACTGTGATGTGAACTTCTGACACTGGTATTCACTAACCATTAATATAAAAAGAATGCACTAGGAGCAGCTCTTTGGAATCCCCCCTTCCCTCAGTTTTTTGACAGTTTCGATAAGTGGAGAACAATCTCCCTGTTAATTTGACTGCTGTCTATTGAGTGCAATGGATTTTGCCAAATGTCCAGAGTCCACAAATAAATGTAAAAATCTGTCCTCCCCTGGAGCTTCAGGCTTGTGCTCAGACACTACCTTCACAGTTAGACAACAGCCTGGTTTCTGCTGCGACTGCCAGTAAAGACAACAGGGATGTTCTGTACCAAGTTTCAAGTTACGTGAATTCTAAACTACTAAAAAGTTGTCAGATGACAGCCATTCTAGGTAGAAACGGCACTAGTATACTAGATGAAAAATCTAGATGAGATCAGAACAGAGGCCCAGAGGTCCATGTGGCTGTAGGAGTGGGCTACGGAGCCTTGCAGAACTATGTATTTGCTCTGTCCTGCTCCTTGACTAGTTAGACACCTGGAGATTCTAACTGGGATTGCACAAATTCTATCTGGTGAGGAAATAACATTTTTTGACAATAATAAGTAACACAAATTCCAGGTGAAATTCTTAGAAAGACATAAACGGAAGAATAATTGTATATTTATATACAATTATATGGAAACAGCAGGCTTGGGAATTAGAATCCTATCATTTTTAAGACCATGGATACTTTTCTAATAATATTCTTAGCAGAAAGCCATTGAATGATTTAGCAAATATTGTATGAATTTTTACACTACTTACATGCATATATCTTTACTGTACAACTTGGTTATTTTCAGGTATGATGTACCTAATGTTAGATAACATTGAAGCTTCCTGTCTCATAAATCATCCCTAAGGCAAATCCATCAAAACAGAATATCCTAACAGCTTAACTGATGGGGAGACATAGAATATTAGAGAAAAGTTAGATTCAGGTATACATTTTAAACGAAAAGGAAGAAAAATGATTTTATCAACTGAATTTAGGGTAATGGTAGTTATAATGATAAAAGTAGTCAGAATAGGATAAAGGAATTTTGAAAAAAAAATGGTGATCAAAGATTAATGCTAAATTGAAATAGAATGCCAATGCTATTATCTGAGTGTTACTATCTCCTGCAGCAGAAGGAATCATAATCAATTTTCTATTTATAAAGAGAGTACTACTTATTATGAAAGGAAAATACTGACCAGGCTTATAGAGATGGCAACAAAATGCAACAGTTGTGATTACTAATTTTTAGTTTTATCTTATTCCCGTTTCCTTCAAAGCAGATAAACGTTTCCATATTATGTAAATAACATACAGATTTTAAAATTCAGTAAATAAAAATATATAACAAAATATGTAACTGGTACTCCTAAGTACTTACTATTATCCTGGATAGAACTTTTATTGAGACATTAAAAACACTCTCTCTGTAAAACACTAGATTGCCTCTGAGAGATAAAAAATTCATAAATTTACAATGGTAACCAAATGAAAACGCAGAGTAAACTTTCTAGATGAAAATACGGCTCTCCTAACCAAATGCTGAAAAACAAGAGCAATGTAATATGCACTAGATTCATATTGTGGGGAATGTGTTTGTATCTAATCTAATGCTTGCATACATTATTCCTATGCTTTGAGAACAGAATAACAATTGTAATTTTGCTCTGAATCAAAATAACAGAATCTGTCATTTGACGTGCTGTAGTGTTTGCACTTTCATTATTGTTCATAGAATAATTGTATGCTTCTTTTTACTGTTATTTTGTAGCAGTTTATCTCTTTTAAAATGCTATTCAAATGAGCTTCAGCATGAATCTCAAAGTCAAAATCAGTCACTATGTTTTAGCAGACACTTTCAATACGCCCATACATATACTTACGCATATCTGTTTTGATAAAATGTGATTCTTATATGCATAGTATGTTATTTCACCACAATTTGCATTGTTATAATAGGTTATTGACTGATTTTTCAGTTTAAGGGACTAAGGTAGTATTCAGTAATGAATGAGTGCTACAAGTTTATTGCAAGTGCCCAAGGTTCACTCACCCCAAGCAATTTAGTCAATAACCAATTTTTATAGTTCTATCTCCTTCAAAATTCCAAACCAATAATCCCTGTTTTTTTTTTTAATTATTTCAGTATCAGACTAACATTTCCCATGGAAATCAATATAGGTGCGATCCACTAGCCAAAAATCTGCAGCACTGCAATGCAAACATATTAAAAATATTGATCTTGCAAAGCTACTGATGTTTTGATTGACTTTAATGTTGGTAAGCAGCAATAACAGAATTTCAATGACTGAAACAAACTTTTGATTAAAATTATAGATCTTTTGGGGGGAATTTGCTATTTTACTGGCTTAAAGCATATCACATGGCTTACTTGCCTGCCGTAAATGAGTGCAGTGGGATATACTTATCCAATTCCTTATTTGTAAATATGTAGTCCATCACAGCTTACACATCTTTAATCTACTTTGAACTGCCCTGACATTTCAATTCAACTTCTCATTATAGCACATGGTGGGGTGACGTTTTCAGACTAAGAGTGGCAGGAATTGAGAGCTTTAATCCTTCTTTTACTATTATGCAATCTTTGGGAAGGCATTTTATTCTCAGTTTAAATTCCCCAAATGTAAAAATGGAATTAACCTTGGGAATCAATGAACATTCTTATTACATTTTGAGATCAGTTGACAGTAAAGACCGTAACTTATACATACAAAAGATTATCTGATCCGAAGATATGTCCCTTAAAGGAAGAACAGAATTTTGCAGCCATTTAGTGATCACCTAGCAATGCTCTCATTTTATGTATGAAGAGACTAAGGTCCTAAAAGGTACAGACAACACAAGGAGCTCCTCACTGAGGCCTCTCCTGACCACGCTATATAAAACATACCACTGGGCCCCATCAGGTACTCTCTCACCACTTAGCCTACTGAATTTTTATCCTAACATCACTATCTAAAACATAAACTTTATATGTCGATTTGTCTACCTAGTATCTATTTTCTCTTCTGAAATGTAAGCTCTATGCAACAGAGCTTACATTTGGCTATGAAAAGGAATTTTGCTTATCCTTTTCATAGCCAAATCCCTAGTATTCAGAAAAGTATCTGACATACAGGGGGCTCAATAAGCATTTCTGAATAAATGAAGGAAAGAAGGAGCCAGATCCACTAATGGAAGGGTTGGGTTGGGTAGGGGTGAAGTGGGCTTGATTCTCTTAACTCTCAGTCCAGTGTTGCTATGAAGTCTCCTTCTTAATATGTTCCTTTCACTTCCCTGGGTTCTCAGATGTAAGCATCAAAGGGAATTTGCATCCATATCTATTATACATATTTTTGTTAAAGTTCACAGATATTTTCAAGTTTAAGAGTTTCATTATTTAATTATTAATCCTTCACCTGGATTTTTTCTCCATTTGTTTGCTCTACCTTCCACCACGTTAAAACTGTCATAAATTCTTTATTTTTACTTGTGACATTTTATTGCAATAAAAAGATCGATAGTTTAAATAAAAAATGAAAATTAAAAATGACCCATTTATCAGCTGCTTATTTCATTTCTACCACAATCACTCCCATATAGTCCTTCTGGAAAAGCACCAAGGTATAACTTGCAAATGTGCAGGGACTTTGGCCTCCTCATGAATTTTATTAGTTTTCCCCAAATTACCCTAAACACATACACAATATATTTGTAAGTATACAATACAGCTTGAAGACAAATTCCCTGTTCCTCTTCCAGAGGCTGCTACCATGGCAAACCTTCAGGAACTGCCTCTGGTGCTGCCGTTCTCTGGCGAGTGTCGGCGAAGTAGTGTGGTTTGCAACTATCAGATCTGGATTAGAATCTCAACTCCCCCACTTACAAACCACATGAACCTCTGTTTACTCATCTGTAAAAAAAGATCATAACACCCACTATAAAGGTAAGCTGTTGGGAGCAAATAAGATGCACATAAAGTGAATGGCACAAAGCAGGGATGCAAACAGGGTTAGTTCCCTTCTTACCTTCACACATTTGTGGAAAAAATAGCTAACTTAATGCTTTCTCTTTCTTAGTGCACTGAAAAAGTGTTTAGATATTTATGTGAGATCACTAATGGTTTTTGCGAATCAATAAGAGGCAGAATGGAAGGTAAAACTATTTCAAAGAACTGACAGATGTGATCAAGTCACTAAATGATGTACTGTAGTTACTAGAGAAGGTATCTCTACACAAGCACCAGTGGCCGAAGGGTGGCAAGTGATGTTACATTTTGGGCAGGGATTATGCCATTTCTTTCTTCCACTTGCCCCTACATCTGGCTATTCCATCTCTGCAAGCAGTCTGGTGCCCTCAGTACCCTAATATTCTCACACTCCTTAATCCATTCCTGGAAGCCACCTTCAGTTTCATAAACATCTACCCTCAGTCTGCTATTGAAAACAGCACCCTATCAGCAGCTCTGTTTGAACACTCACTGAGACTCCTGATGTCTATCTGTCGCTCTGGAGTTGCAAAGCTGGTAGGCTCAGGATGAGCTCTCATGGGGCTGTTAAAGGTCGAGAGGCAGTAAGCTAGGCTAGTCCTTTCAAAGTGGCATCATACTGCATGATGACTCAAAATGGCTTCAAAGAAGGCAAAGGTTACCTGCTAGGGGATGTGCATCTGAGGGAAGATCAACAAAATATTAAAGATAATGATAGGTTTTCTTAAAGGTTTATTTTTACTTTTAGAAATAAGGACTGTTAAGTATGAGATGATGGGAAAGGCCAGTATGCCAACAGGAGAAATGGTTCTTTTTATTATTTCTGCCCAAGTATGTAGTGGACTTGCAACAAACTTATAACTCTTGCCTGTAATCCTAGTACTGTGAGAGGCTGAGGCGGGAGGATCACTTGACTAGCCTACAAGCATAGGGAGACTCTGTCTCTACAAAACAAAACAAAAATAAATAAAATTAGTTGGGCCTTGTGGCATGCACCTGTAGTTCCAGCTACTTGGGTGGCTGAGAGGGGAGGATCGCTTGAGCACAGGAGGTCAAGGCTGCAGTGAGACTTGATCATGCCACTGCATTCCAAACTGGGTGACAGAGCGAGACCCTGTCTCAAAACCACCCCCCAAAACAAACAAACAGAAAACCCCAAACAAGAAAAACTAGTAACCCTGGCATCACTGATTCTCTGCTACTCCCTTAGCACTGCTATTACTCTGGCTCTGCAGTGGAAAGCCTGACTGAAACATACACCTGATTTAATCACACACCATCCAATGTGTCAGTGGTACCACACGGAGTGTGTCCCCTTTGCTCTCCAGGCCACTGCTAGAACCATCAGATCTTCACTTTTTGGGGACTATTTACCCCTTTGAGAATATGAGAAGAGCTATGATTCTCCACCACATATACTAATTGTATCTAATCTACCAATTCGACACAGAATTTCAAAGGGTTCATATAACTCACTACAGCTCATCCATAAATCCCCCAGGCCTTGGGGGTATTCAAGGGCAATCAATCCTCTCGTGTTGGAAAATATCAAGATGCCTGCTTTCCTCACAGGACTGTAGGTACATAGTATAAAGACATCTGCTTTGGGTAAAGAGGGGAAGGAGAGGAGAGAGGCAAGTTTTAAAAGGAAAGTATCATTTTCCCTCAAGTTAGAAAGCATTCAGATAAAGAAAAAAGACCATTCAAATGCCAGGACTTGGATGCATGCAACATAAGTTAAATGCATGCAAGTGGGAGATTTGGCTTAATTCCAAGCACAAAATATTTCAGCTCCATGGGGAAAGTTAACCATAGGCCAAAATCTCAAGGCATATATGTAATTCACTTAGTATTTTAAAAGGTCCAATATTTTAATGTCTTAAGAAATTCTCAAACTTCCTGAAATTTTAATGGTGCAAACATTTTAAATATAGAGGGCTAGCAGTTCTTGAGAAGTATTTTGGCACAGATTTTAACGGAGATTTGTTGATCTTTTTTCAGGGACACACTGGCAAATTTAAAACATAGTTATTGAGAAGAACACCTCCCTAATTTATAACTATTTTAAGGCGCATCAGATTAAGGTCTGAAACTTCCTGACATTATGCTTCTAAATTGTAGGGTAAAGCATTTGTCCTCTTTAACTGAAGAAAAAATTGGGAAAAAATGTGTGTGTGTGTGTGTGTGTGTGTGTGTGTGTGTGTGTGTGTATATATATATATATATGTATAAAGACTTTGTATATGTGTATTCAAAAGCTCAAATTCTGGTTACCAGTCCTCCACATACACTTCAATTAAGCAACTATTGGTCAGAGAGCATAGAGTAAATGCCCTTCACTGAAAACTCAATTAAGCTTGCAGAGAAATGATTAGTAATGTCAAAAGAGAAATTTCAACTCAAATAACATTGTATTTGAGATTACTTGCTAAATTTTTAAATGGGGGTTTGGGGATTGGAAGTTCTTAACGTATAATGCCCTTTTCCCATAAACTGGCCTTTTAACCTTACATTAAAAATATGGCTAGAAAAACAGATTGATAATTCCTCAAGAAGTTAAACAGAAAATTACTATATGACCCAGCAATTCCACTTATAGGTATAGAACCCACAAAATTAAAAACAGATGTTCAAACAAACACTTATACATGAATGTTCATAGCAGCATGATTCATAGTAGCCAAAAAGTGAAAACAAGCCAAATGTCTTTCATTTGATGAATGAGCAAACTAAATGTGGTGTATCTATACAATAGAATATTATCTGGCAATAAAAAGTAATAAAGAATTGATACATACTACAACATGGTTCAGTCTTGAGAAGCTTATGCTAAATGAAAGAAGCCAGCCACAAAAAGCCACATATTCTGTGATTCAATTTATATGAAATGTTCAGAATAGCAAATGCACAGAATCACTGAAGCAAATTAGTGGTTGCCAGGGACTGAAAGGAGGAGAGAATGGTGAGTGATTGCTTTATGGGTCTAAAGTTTCTTTTTGGAGTGATGAAAATGTTCCAGAATTAAACAGTGGTGATGGCTACAACACTGCGCATATACTGGAAATTACTGAACTGTGCTCCTTTAAATGGCTACAATGGTGAATTTCATGTTATGTGTATTTCCATAAAAATTGTGGCCAGGAGGCCGGGCACGGTGGCTCACGTCTGTAATCCCAGGACTTTGGGCAGCCGAGACTGGCGCATCACAAGGTCAGGAGATTGAGACCATCCTGGCCAACATGGTGAAATCCCGTGTCTACTAAAATACAAAAAGTTAGCCAGGCGTGGTGGCTCATGCCTACAGTCCCAGCTACTCGGGAGGCTGAGGCAGGGGAATTGCTTGAACCCAGGAGGTGGATGTTGCAGTGAGCTGAGATTGCGCCACTGCACCCTAGCCTGGCAACAGAACAAGATTCCGTCAAAAAAAAAAAAAAAAGTGGCCAGGATTCTTTTTCACTTTATTTATTATGATTCTAGTAAAGAAAGACACTAATGAAATCAATTTCTACTGAAATTAAACACTGGATATGATCATAAGAGCTCTTTTTTAAACTCATAATATATCCATGTGTGTTTGAGTAGGCTGTGCCTCAATAAGTGGGAAATTAATCATCTGGATAGTTATGAATATTCTCATAAGTCTATACAGTATTTATAATTCTGGCAAAACAAGACAAGGAAAAATGGGAAAATAAACTTTCTTTGCCCAGAATTCATTGGGAGGCTGAACAAGTTTGTTTTGCTTTAGAAGTGTTGTCAACAAAATTTTACTGAAATGTAAGGATTAAATTGGCAAAAAATAAAGGATTTACTTTTTTGTATTTACTTTTCACGATGTCCAAAAGCAGCCAGGTTTTCTCGCCTACATAATACAATGCAAGATCTACTTGGTAAGATTGGGGAAGTCTGAAATGAAGTAAGTTTACCAAATATTCATAAAGCATCTAGTTATGTACTTGTACAATAATCATTATGTTACACTTAATTTTTAATATTATACTCAATTTTTTAAATTAAAAAATTCATTATTTTTTGGCATTTATTCTTTTAAAATAAGTATACAAGGGTACAAATTTCTCTGTTTAGTAATCTAGCTACACTAAAAAGTTTTTCTTTTCTTTTCTTTTTTCTTTCTTTTTTTTTTTTTTTTGAGACGGAGTCTCACACTGTCACCCAGGCTGGAGTGCAGTGGTGAGATTTCGACTCACTGCAACCTCTGCCTCCTGGGTTTGAGAAATTCTCCTGCCTCAGCCTCCCAAATAGCTGGAATTACAGATGCCCGCCCCCACGCCTGGCTAATTTTTGTATGTTTAGTAGAGAAGGGGTTTTGCCATGTTGACCAGGCTGGTCTTGTACTCCTGACCTCAGGTGATCCACCCGCCTTGGCCTCCCAAAGTGCTGGGATTACAGGGATGAGCCACCGCGCTCGACCAGTATTTTCTAAATTTCTTTGTTGATCTTTAAATTATTTGGAAGACTTTTACTTTAATCTCTTCTCTACCCATTTACTCCTTTCCTCAACTTTTATTGTAAAAATGTTTAAACGTGTAAGAGTTTCAGTAGTGCTATGAATGCCCATATGCCTTTCCCCTAGATTCAATAATTGTTAACATTTTGCCACATTCATTTCATCTCTTTCATTCCCTGTACATGTATTTTTTTTCCTCTGAATCATTTGAGAGCTACAAACAAAAATAATTTAACAACTGCACCTCATGTATTTGAATTTAATGCCAAAGTCACAAGAGTCATATTGGGATACATTTTTAAAATTATAGTCATCCACCTTCATAAAAGTTTTAAAAAGGCACTATAATTATCTTGACTTTTCTGTAAAATTCCTCACTATACTATAAGCTCTAGGAAGGCGACATGTTTTCTATTTCTTTGGTATGATAACAGTCTCATGTATGACTTTGAGTTATTGTTTCACCTTGAAGGGTCCCCTACATCAGCAGTCCCCAACCTTTTTGGCATCAGGGACTGGTTTTGTGGAAGACAATTTTTCCACACATGGGGAGTGGGGGATGGTTTCAGGATGAAACTGTTCCACCTCAGATCATCATGCGTTAGATTCTCATAAGAAGCTCAACCTAGATCCTTCGCATGTGGAGTTGACAGCAGGATTCCGCTCCTATGAGAATCTAATGCCTCTGCTGATCTGACAGGAGGCGGAGCTCAGGTGGTAATGCTGGCTCTCTGCTAACCGCTCACCTCCTGCTGTGTGACCCAGTTCCTAACAGGCCAGGGACCAGTACTGGTCCATGGCCTCTGGGTTGGGGAACCTCGCTCTGCACCTTCCAATTCATCTTCTTTTTTCCAAGTCCTGTCTTCCATAAACACACCACACATATTTATACATTTATTCCATTAGCCTTGGAATAGTTAAAGCACTTGTGTGTAACCCTCTCATCTGGGTACCTATTTTCTGCTGTAACTTGAAATTTAAATTTAAACGATATAAAGTTTAGGTATAAGATTTATTAGTTCTGGGGATCTAATGTACACTATGGTGACTGTAGTAAACTACTGTATTATATATTTGAAATTTGCTAAGAAAGTAGATGGTAAGTGTTCTTACCAC
The DNA here is from genome assembly GCF_000001405.40 of Homo sapiens. NCBI lineage: Eukaryota > Metazoa > Chordata > Mammalia > Primates > Hominidae > Homo > Homo sapiens. The sequence goes on from NC_000005.10 coordinate 93,709,027, forward strand.
CCACCCCCACCCCACCACACACACAAATGGTAACTATGTAATGGAATTAATATGGACTGATTGTGGTAATCATTTCACAAGGTATACACATGTCAATCACCATGTTGTATACCTTGAATATATACAATTTTTGTCAATTATGCCCCAATAAAGCTGAGGAACAATGCATTTTACTTGCATGCTACATTGCCTCAATGAAATCATAAGGTCCTCCAAGACAGGGTCCCAGATTTTTTTACCCCATGGTTGGTAGATACTAAAATTCTTTCTCAACTTAATTTAAATCTTCATAGTATGATATTGGTTAAAGAAAATAAATTGCAGAGGGCCAGGCGCGGTGGCTCACACCTGTAATCCCAGCACTTTGGGAGGCTGAGGAGGGTGGATCACGAGGTCAGGAGTTCGAGACAAGCCTGGCCAACATGGTGAAACCCCATCTCTATTAAAAATACAAAAATTAGCTGGGCGTGGAGGTGTGCACCTGTAATCCCAGCTACTTGGGAGGCTGAGGCAGGAGAATCGCTTGAATCCAGGAGGCGAAGGTTGCAGTGAGCCAAGATTGCACCATTGCACTCCAGCCTGGGTGACAGGGTGAGACTCTGTCACAAAAAAAAAAAAAAAAAAAAAAAAACCATAAATAAATAAATAAAAAGAAAATAAATTGCAGATTATATATATTTAGTTTTATTGTGTTACATAGAATAAGGTGCTATAAATCCATAGAAATTAGAACCATAGTCTAGTTGACAATTTATTTTTGTTCCATTGAATCTAACCTCATACATGTATACACACACATATATATGTATTTCCAACCCTATAATTTTTCAAGTGATGAAACAGACCCATAGAAGTTAAATGATTGACTTCACAGTATAAAACTTTTAAGAAGCAAAACTAAAGCTATAATTAAATGAGTTAATGCATATAAGTGCTTATACCAGGGCCTAGTTAATACAGGAAGGGCTTAAGAAATATTCTTAGCTTCAGAATCAAGGTTGTTGGATGTCTAATTCAGTGCATTTTCCAGTAAAACACATTACCTCAGAACTTTACAGTAACACAGTAAAGACAACCATTTCAGGAGCATGTTATGCATTCTTTAATGAGCAAGAGTTACACAATAAGAGATCAGCCCGAGGGTGTCATCAGAACAGGTAAACTGGTAGCCTATGGGCCCGATATAAATGGCTGCCATTTTATTTGACCCCTTTAATAGTTTAAAAATTTTTAGTTAGTTGCAACGGTTAAAATTATAGAAATGTGAAATAAATATTGAGACTTTTAACTTCTTTGGGAAAACCGGGAAATCTGACAACACTGGGCTTGCATTCCTCCATGTCACCAATCAGTTGGGGTTTGAATTTCCAACTCCTGCCCTTCTGCTAAAGTCCTGATTATGATTAATGTACAAAATGATGACTGAATCATGTAGTAAGAGCTACATCAGTCAGAAAATACTAAGTGATATTTGCTAACCATATCTAATTGCAAGCCACACACACATAGCTATTTCCTAAATTAGAAAAATTGATTGTTATAAGGAATAAAAATAAAGGTGACTGTAGTATTTAAAGGGTAACTAGAATTTAACCAGAAAATCTATTTAAAGAGATGAGCCCACTCCCTACAGTTCAGTTACATAAGGAACCAATGTATTTTTCTTTTATGGGAAAATACTGGTTCAATAACTTTGATTCATATGTTAAATAAAAACAAATGACACAACTTTATTTGGAATATTTTTTCCCTTAATTTAAATATAGCCCTTACGATCTGCAAACATTTTAGTTAGTCTGCTTTTGACCTGAACTAAGCAGCTATAAGAAAAAAAATTAAAAATAAAAATAGGTTACAACACATTAAATATCCTCCCTCTGCCACCTTACACTTTTTGGTGCTAAAACATATGCTCTGCCACCTGCAGATAAAAGTCACACACTGAGAGTGTATATTCTGACAAGAATTACTAGTTTCAAGCATGCCTGGTGATTTTGGACAGTAGCACTTAAGAAACCTTCAATCTGGCAGTTTTACCACTGCACATTTTTGAAAGCATTCCTACAGCCTAAAGTTATACAAATTTTAGGATCTGACCTTTGGGAGAAAACAAAATAAAATGAAACAAAAAGGATCCTAGGGTAGCATTTTGATCCAACTGGTTCTATTTTTTTTTTTGTTTTTTTTTTTTTGGTCACATACATATCTCCCCCCACCCCATTTCACATCTCAATGACAAGTTGCCAAGGGTGATTTGAATTTTTTAAAAAAAATTTCTGATGGGGTAAAACTCTATTGTAATATCAAGAGAACTTGTATTCCTACACACACTGGGAACATCTGTCATAAGAGTTAAAAATTATTGTTATTCCATAAAAAATTTATTTTCCTATTTTTATGTTTCCTTTACCCTCAGTTACTTTTCTGTTTTATTTTATTTGTTTGCTCTTTCATCTTGTTCCATAAAGGGTTTGGGGATGTACAAAAATGAACCCAGGCAGGACTTCCGAAGATGGCAAGTGAAGAAGTTGGCAAATCCTCTTCCACTGAACAACTAAAAAGGTGGCAAAATTGTCAAGTACAACCATTTCAGCACTCCAGAAATCAACCAAAAGCAAAAAAACAAACTGAGAAATGTTTATTCAAGGAAATCTGCTGTATTACAGGTAAGGACAGTGGCAATCTGTGGCGAGCAGCTCGGTAGCACAGCAGTGCTTCCAGAGCATGATTGGCTGTGAAAACCTGCAGCTTCGCTGCTAGAAGGGGCTGACTTGATTTACAGTAGAAGGACAGAAACCCATGCCCAATCATGTTATCCTCAAGTAAAGCAAATTCAGTGGGAAACCAACCACAAAAGCCCCGGCCCTGCTAGTCTGAGGTTGTGGTCTTGCTTGGGGCGAGCGGTAGACCAGTAGACTAGCTAGAAATTCAACAGGGAGATTCTGGAAATGAGTGAGAGGCTGAGAGACTAGATGAACTCCCGCACATTCCTAGCTGACTGAGAGGATGAGTGCTGGGACGGAAGTCCCAGGATAGCCTGGTAGAGAAGGAAAGCTAGGGCAGACTTGGAAACTTTGAATAGGCTCTGTAACTCAAACACGGATCCATCCACAGAGTCTTACTAGCTTGGGGTGATTGAACAAAAACTCTGACCATTAGGCTATGTAGGCAAAGAGGTTATTATCTAGGAGCTGACCTAAAATAAAATTAAAATTGAAAACAAAACAAAACAAAACAAAAAACCCACCAAGCTATCAACATCTACATTTTGAAGAGGGGAGTCTGCAGATTAAGTCCAGGTAAGTTTCTAAAAACAGAAGAAAACAAAAGACCAGAAGCAGCAACAAAGATCCTCAAGGCAAATGAATCAGAATCTACAGTTGCTCTCATTATTCCTGTTCAACATTGTACATGAGGTTGCAGCCAGTACAGTAAGGCAAGAAAAGAACTTAATGGCATATATATTAAGAAGGAAGATGTACACGGTTTTAGTCATAGATGTTATGGTCCTGTATGTAGAAAATCCTAAAGATTCTATTAAAAAAATCTAAAACAAGTTTTAGCTAGGTCACAAATACAGAATCAATATGCAAAAATCAATTTTAATTCTCAAACTAGCAATAAACAATTCAAAATTGAAATAAGAAAAGAATTCCACTCAAGAAATAGAGGAAATAATCTTAAAATTTATATTGAACCACAAAAGACATGGAATAGCCAAAGCCATCCCTAGCAGAAAGAACCAAACTGAAGGGATCACATTACCTGACTTCAAATTATACTACAGAGCTATAGTAACCAAAACAACATGGTACTGGCATAAAAACAGACACATAGACCAATGGAACAGAATAGAGAACCCAGAAATAAACCCATACATCTACATTGAACTCATTTTCAACAAAGGTGCCAAGAACATACACTGGGGAAAGGACAGTCTCCTCAATAAATGGTGCTGGGAAAACTGGAAATCCATATGCAGAAGAATGATACTAGACCCCTATCTGTCACCATATACAAAAATCAAATCAAAATGGATTAAAGATTTAAATCTAAGAGCCAAAACTATGAGCCTACAAAAAGAAAACATTGGGGAAAGTCTCCGGGACATTTGACAGGGAAAAGATTTCTTGAGTAATAGCTCAAAAATTCAGGCAATCAAAGCAAAAATGGACAAATGGTGTCAGATCAAGTTTAAAAGACATTGCACAGATAAGGAAACAATCAACAAAGTGACAATCCCCAGAATGGGAGAAAATATCTGCAAACTGCCCATCTGACAAGAGATTAATAAACAGAACATATAAGGAGCTCAAACAACTCATTAGGAAAAAAAAAATCTAATAATCCGATTTAAAAATGTACAAAAGATCTGAATAGACATTTCACAAAAGAAGACATACAGATGGCCAAGAGGTACATAAAAAAAAGTTCAATATCACTAATCATCAGATAAATGCAAATCAAAACTACAATGAGATATCTTACTCCAGTTAAAATGGCTCATATCCAAAAGACAGACAATAATGAATTTTGACAAGGATGTGGAGAAAGGGACACCCTTGTACATTGTTGGTGGGAATGTAAAATAACACTACCACTGTGGAGGTTCCCAAAAAACTAAAAATAGAGCTACCATATGATCTAGCAATCCCACTGCTAGGTATATGCCCCAAAGAAAGGCAGTCAGTATATTGAGGAGATATCTACACTCTCACTGTAAAAACATACTATAAAATTTTCATTGTCCATAAGATAAAAAGAAACAACTGGTGAACTGGTGAAGCACTGAATTCTAGGGAAGATTTCTCCTGTGGGTCCTCCTAAGAGAGGACCTCATGAAATATAGGGAACTACTCCCTTTAAAATAGCAGCCCTCTCCCCATGGTGAGCCCTGAATGGTTTACAGGGGTGAGGAGATAGTGATCCTCAGCCCTCAGGGGCCAATAGGACTAGGGGCAGCTAAAGCCCTGTGCCTGTGGCCTCCAGCCTTTAGTAGTTCCCTGCAACTATACTAGGATGCTGGAAAAATATATTTTTTTGTAATATGTGCCAAAAAATAAAAAGCACTTTGTCTAAAAGGTATCTGTAACATCTGTAACATGCAGTTTCATATCATTTTCTTTTAACAAGCTGATTACAAAACAGAAATACAATTCGTTAAAACATTTCTGCAAGGGCCAAAGATGTCCAGTTATTTGATGTCTGGCTTCATTTATCCCATAGTATTATATGTGGCTACTAAATGCATCTGAACTCCTTTTAGGTGGCATTTATGTTAATGAGTTTAAATTATTTATTAACAAGGTCAGCTTTATTCACCACATGACCAAGTTTGGCCAAATGGACTGGTGGTGCTGCCAGGTGCAAATATGCTTCCCAACACTTCAGAAACTCTGAAAGCCTCCCTTCTACAAATCCATTTCTTTACATGCAATTTTTAAGCTCACTGTAAGCGCAGATGAACTACACTGCATAATCACATATTCACATTACTTATTAGAAAGTGATCTTAGATTAAAAAAAATTATAGATGATTTTTAGTTTGAACCTTCTCCTTCCCCTCATTTTAAGTTAATTCCACACAGGGTGATTGTTTCTAATGTGTGTCACTGGAGTGCATTAAGATTCTACCCTTCAGAATTTTTACAAGGCATGAAATTTCAGGTAAAATTGCTGGTACTGAGACCCACCAATAAGGGCTATGGCTTATGGCTCCACATAGTCTCCTGGTCACCTGCAACTCTTACACAGGAGAATATTCCTATTGGAGCTTTCCCAATAAATATGACTTTGAAGATCTAGTCTTGATAAGTACATTATTCAATCTTTATGGTTCTTTACCCCATTAGTCATATCACTGCACCGGAGTTACACCAACTATAGACAGTAAAATCATCTTACATATTAATTTCCCATATGGCACATCAGATCCCTGCATCAAGAATTCCTGTTTTACATAAAAAATTTAGGTTCTTGCCTATATATCCACAATATTCCATTTAATTATAAAGAAATTCCATTCCTCCCTTAATTAACTTTTACTATCTATAAAAGTGAAACAAGAGGATTGTACTCTACTTATATGTACATTACAACTACTTTTGTGAAAAAAATCTACAAATACACTTTTTTTCTAAAATGTATATATAATCAAAAGAGGATTTCAGAGAAAAGTACAAACGTGAGGACAGCAAACAGGAAAAAGTAGTACGTGAGTATTTAGCACTTACGGATAGAACTTAAGCAAAAACTATAGCTAAATTTTTTTAAAGCACCTTTAAGACTCTTTATTAATTTAAAATTTATTACAAATACACAACTGCATTCTGATGCAGTCCCCTTAAGTCATCTTGTTAAATTTTGTCATAACATGTGTTACTGCAGTTCTACACTTTTACCTTTGCACTTTGTAGTGTGCAGCAGAGCACCATAATTAACCACTGGTAGGTAGTGTTTACGTTAGTTCTCAAAAGGTTAAGAAGCTGATTATAGCTAAAATCAGCTTTGCCTGAGGCTTCAGGGGCTCTGTGTAATCAAATTAGACAAGCAGGGCACAGTGTCACCTAACACAAACCAGTGGCACTTTCTTCTTTGCACTGATCCTTTCCCCCGCCTTTTTTTTTTTTTTTATTAGGGAAACAACTCATGCTTTTTGCTTTTACCAGATAATTTTGAAAGACTTGTTCCTAATAAATTTGGCACGCAATTTCCTAAGATGTCCACTTCTTTAAAAGAAATGAGAACATGTAGAGAAAATTTTGAAAAAAAAATGCTTGTTAGAAAAGAAATTTACATTTAGAGACAGATTTTTTAAAGGAAGTATTTTCACAAAAGGCAGGTGACAACATTATCACATGTACACAATATTATGGACACTTCCTAGCTTTAGACAGACTGTCAGTTTTGTTTTGCAGAAAACCACACAATGGCTTATCTGCTTCAGAGAACTTTATAAACATGATAGGTAACACATTAGCATTTCTAAGAAACCATGGGAACCCTCTCTGCTGAGTGATAGCTCATCATTTCTCCATCTCTACTCTTTGAAGCTGGGCAAGGTAAACTATATAATAGATGTATTTACGAAGGAGGTTTAATAAGGTGAAGAGAAGAGCAAACTAGTCCTACTTCAGAGACCCTCTACAAGATTCTATATTTAAATGCAGAAAGATGTATTAGCCACGTATAAATCTTGCTACCTTTGAGTCTAAAGAGAACAAAATCATGAACACTAAAGAGAATAAGAAAGAATAGCAATGGCAAATTTAAATAAAAATCTAGAATATTCTTCTCAGCAAAATTTATAAACTACTATTAAGAGATAACATTTATTACATCTTTATCTTCCTGTATTTGACTTTGAACTTTTGGTTCAAGTTCTACATATTTATTACTTTGCTTGAAATACAGAAGCAAAATGAATGTAAACATCCTACAAATGAGTGATCAAGAGAAAATGAGTTTTGCTAATGATTTATTCTGAGCAATAAAATCAAAACTTGTTATTTTAATTGATTAAGTCATAAAGAGTTCCTGGAAAAGTCAAATCTTGCTATTTGCACAGTCAGACAATTTCTGCTAAACCAGCAGTACTTAACAAATTCACATGTGGTTAGTTTGTCTTGCCATAGCTGTATATCACATTTCTGTACTATAAGCTGTGCAAAAAAAAAAAAAAAAAAAAAAAAATCAATATGCCAAGTTTAACAAAAGGACAGGAAACATGATGTTCTCCTATATTTTCAATCAACCTCAAATGACTCTGCTGTTCATACTCAGTACAATTTATGGCTGAGAAATGTATTCTTCAATTGAAAAAAAATCTACAATGGAATGAATTATATAAATTCAGAGTTGAAGTTCTGCCTTATTCCATAATAACAATTTATTTAGAAGATTCTGACATTCTGATTCAATGTGCATAGTATAATCAGCCATTCAGAGGCATATTTTTTTTTCTTGATGAAGGATGAAGTACTACTGTATATTCTTTAGATCAAAGAATGTATACTATTTATGATAATACTTTGATATACATATTTAATTTAGGTTTTGGAGACTTTTTTTCTAATTTCTCTTTTCATATGTGAAATATATGATGAGATGGTATCTATTGAGCAAATGCTTTAAAGTATAACACAAAGAAAAAAATCCCAGTGGATCCTGAGCTACTGCATTGGTTAATTGATTCTAGATTTTACATCGTCTTTTACTGCTGCAGAAGTACATTATGTGTGGAAGTAGATTAGGATGAAAATGCTGAGAATGAGGTAGGAGTGGTCATGACCAATAGGTCAGCACCAAGCGGTGCCACTTCTGCCTTCTCAACTCAGCGCTGTGGAACTGTGTGTGGCAAAACAACCAGAAAGTTGGAGTTCAGCCAAACTATTCAGAACTGTTACCACAGTTGCTTTTTTTTTTTTTTTTTTTTAAAGTAAAGGAAGAGTTGGCTTTGGAATCTTTAAAAGGGCCATATACATAGAAAAGAGAAAAGTGCAACAATACACATACGCAGAGGAATTTATTTACACTTGTGAAAAATTCTTTGGTAATTTCTCTTCATTCTAATAACCAGAGGTAAATGGATTAATGACAGCTGAAAAAAGTATGTTACTGATGAGTACTGAAGGTATAAACCGTGATATAAAACATACTCAGAGAACTGCACTTGTTCCTAACTTTCTATTAATATGTCATTTATAAGACGAATTTCACTCGTAGATTAAGGCAGCATTTAAAAAAGAATAGGCATAAATTCCTGATATTAATGTTGCTATAAATGATTATTTCTGTATAATTCATATTCTTTTTTTTTTTTTTTTTGAGACGGAGTCTCGCTCTGTCACACAGGCTGGAGTGCAGTGGCATGATCTTGGCTAACTGCAACCTCCACCTCCCGGATTCAAGCGATTCTCCTGCCTCAGCCTCCTGAGTAGCTGGGATTACAGGTGCGCACCACCATGCCCGGCTAAGTTTTGTATTTTTAGTAGAGACGGGGTTTCACCATGTTGGTCAGGCTGGTCTCGAACTCCTGACCTCGCGATCCACCCACCTCAGCTTCCCAAGTGCTGGGACAGGAGTGAACCACCCCGCCTGGCCAATATTCTTATTTCAAAATAGAGTATGACTCGGCTGGGCGCGGTGGCTCACACCTGTAATCCCAGCACTTTGGGAGGCCGAGGTGGGCAGATCACGAGGTCAAGAGATCGAGACCATCCTCGCTAACATGGTGAAACCCCTACCAAAAATACAAAACAAAATTAGCCAGGTGTGTTGGCGGGTGCCTGTAGTCCCAGCTACTCGGGAGGCTGAGGCAGGAGAATGGCGTGAACCCGGGAGGCAGAGTTTGCAGTGAGCCGAGATTGTGCCACTGCTCCAGCCTGGGCAATGGAGCGAGACTCCGTCTCAGCAAAAAAAAAAGTATGGCTCAGAATAGTGATAGGAAGTTTTTTGTATCCAAAACTCAGAATAACAGAACGTGGAGAAAAAATATATCAAGGCATACAAATCATAATGTAATGTATGTTAAAGTAGACTCTTTAATGTCTGCAACTACATTAACAGTCATACATAATCCCCAGTTACTTGTAAGGCCCTAATATATAATTTGTTCCCAGGAAATGAAAGACTTATCACTTCTGAAAAATGTCTAATTGTAACAACAACAACAACAACAACGTCTGTCCATTTTACTTCTAAGGAGTGGCTTCCTAATGAGAAGTCATACCTTAACATGTTACTGATTTTTGGCTAAAGAGTGATTCAGATTATTTTTCTACCTTTATTTATTTAATGTTTCCTAGCTTTTTTCTCATCTCTCTAAAGGTTCTTTGGTAGTACCTCTTTCTATTTCACTGGAAACCATCTATTAATGAGATTTCCCTATCACTTTACTGCCAATAAATCAAACCTACTGATTCACTCCTGATGCAGATGCCTGATTTCCATTCTTTAGGCAACACTGACAGCTCTCTCTTGGATGTCTTCTGTAGACATCCTATCATTTCTTTAAACTCAATGGGTGGAGCTCATCTTAACTTTTTCTAGCACTCCTTCATTTTTGCAGCATCACTGGATATCCTCACTTCTTGCCTGCCCACACAGGAGATTTCTCCATAACTTTTATATTCCTTAAAATGTCAAAACCTTCATAAAATTATCCTGAGTTTTCTACCATGGCTGTTGTCTGTAGGCCAAAATAAACCAGCTGTTACAAGCTGAAACATTTGATCTGTTTGAGCTCCTAGGCTATAGGGTGCTTATTTAATTCTGTCTGAATTAAAGCATTAGAAAAGAATCTTAGAGCTGGAAAGTATAGAAATCATCTACCTAACCATCTAATATTTAAAAGATTACAGATCCAGAGACGTTCAACTGGCCCGAAGCCACATATAGGTTAGTCATTCTCATCTTTTTGCACTCACCATGTGCTTTTTTAGTCCTCTGCAATTATTATGCTCCTCAAAACAGAACTGGGGAGAACAATCAATTAAATTTGCCACAGATAACATTTCTACCACTTCCAGCCAGCATATTCCTTCTATTTTTACTATTATATCTTCCATGCACTTTTTCACCACATCTCAAGGTGATGATTCTCTGATTCTCCCTTTCTTATCTGCCTGTTAAAACATGTGTGCTAGGCTCTTATGCTTACAAGCTGCTGTGATCACATTATTTCCTTGCAGAAACTGCTTATTAAGTCAAAATGAACATTTCCAAATATCCATCTACTATCTATCTCCAAAACCTAAAATTTTAGCATCTCATGTTTCCTATCTGTTTGGTTCCCTTCCTTTAAGTAATACAGATAGAAAATCCTTTGGTTTCTATTTCAGCACTCCGAAAATTTGTTGAGCTTCTTTTCTCATTTTCCTTATGCTTACTTTTCTAAGCACTTTGGAGTAGGTTCCTCCTCTTCCAGTCTTCAGCACCAAAAGAGATGTGCATCATTTTTGCTGTTTTCCCTTATCTGCTCAGGCCGTCATGCCGTTTCCTTTTCAAATCCTGTCAGGATACCCGTTTATGAATTCTTTGTAAAACCCATCTAATTACTGGACTGCAGTCAACAGCTATCGCTTAATCTTCAATTCTGTTTCCTCATATCCTTTAATTTTAGAAACATAGAACCCTAGAATTGAAGTAGATATTAAAGACGCTTTATTCTAATCTATCCAATGTAAAAATTCCCTCTATCAAATTCTTGAAAAGTGGTTATTAAGCCTTCATTTGACTGCTTCAAAAGACGGAAAGCTTGCCAGTTTACAATGCAGCCCATTCCATTTCTTAAAACAATTCAATCATTATATTGGGCCTCTTTAGTTTCCATAATCCACAATCAAAGCCTTTGTCATAATGTCTATTTAGAACCTAATCTATAGTTCAGGGTTAAGATCAGCTAAATCATTAAATCTTCTCTGAGTTCTTTCGGTGTCATATCTTTAAGATCTGGATGCTATTTATTCAGTCTCAAGAGATGCTTTCCCCCAGTGGTACTGAACATTTACCACCAACTGTGCCAAATAATTCAATAATATAAAAATTTCAACTGGACCATTAAGAGAAAAAATGAAAATCTTCAACTGATACTAGCTCTATAGTTTTCCAAGAAACTGGTCTGCATAAGATGTTAGTAACTTGTGATAAGGTAGTGAGTTGGTTAAAAGTCTAAGACAAGCTCGAATGCTAATATATTAACTTTAACAGAGTGAGAAAACTATATACCCATGAGACTTTATTTCTCTTGCTTAAAAAGTAATTATATTTCAGGCATTTATGATGAGCAATCTGTGTTTTGGTTTTCCTACTTTTTACTTTGTTAAAAGTCAAATAAGTGCCAGACTCACTGTTTTCTTTTTCATTGTGTGATGCCTAACTAAACTGGTAGGTGTATACCCACCTTCATGTGTATATTCTGCTTCTGAAATAAAATGGATGAAAAACATTATATTTAATGTCAACATACCCCAAAGCCTTGTTGTGAAAGGCACAATTTTGAAAAAACTGAATAAATGAATAATATAGTTTACTTTAATAGTATAATCTTAAGATTAAGGAAACAGGCTAATTCTCTCAACTGGTTTAAGTTTCATTGAAAGGGTAGTTTTTAATTTGATAGGTTTGTAAAGGGGGAAGGCAGGAAGCAGAGGGGTGGAACCTAGCGAGGCAGCTCTGTAAGATGAATTGCTGTCAGGGTGAAGCGGCTGGTTACAGTAATAGCTGGAAACCATAAGTGTTACAGGCTTTGAAGTCAGTTCAGCTTTGATGTCTTACTCTCATAGTTAATCGTAAGATAGTATGGAAGGGGCAAAAAAATAAGGCTTTCTAATACTGTGCTTGGTGTCATTGCTCAGGAAATCCTAGCATGAAAAAAGATTGGTGTCTGTGTGAACTTTAAGTGTAGCATTAGTCTGCTCTTTTTTTAAAAAAGTTTTTAAATTATTGATGCACTAATTACCATATTTGTTAGTTTGAGGCAAGTACATGCACATGTAGGAACATGTGTTATTAGAACATGTGAATCAATCAATAAGGATACACATGAATAATTATTTGGGTTTGTTATCATGCTAGGTATTGCTGAGATCAAATTATATAGCTGTGTTTCCCAACGTTGAGGAACTTATTAGCTGAGGACTAGTAATCTTGCTGCAGGAAGTTAAAAATTCACAGGAAGGAGCCTTAGACATCATCTAATCCAAGACCAAAGTCCAAAGAAGATGGCCTGTTCTGGAAACAAGAGATCAAACTGCCAAGTATACACATGAATTAAATAAACCACAATAAATAGATAATATGGAGAAATGAAGGGATAAGAGCATCTTATGACTTCTTGGATAGAAGAAAAATTATAGGAATTTCATGTTTCAATAGAGCATTGTTTCCCTATTAATTTGTGTAACACTTTTATGTATTTTGCTATATGCAGAAACTACCAGCACTACTAAAATACCTAGCATTTCCTTCACCTCAACTCACTTTCTCTATTTGCCTAGTCCCAAACAATAACATCCACTACATGGGTTTTGTGTTATTCTAATACATATTAGAATAAACAAATAACTATTAAAATAAAAAACAGTTTACCTATGAGCCACCAGTGGTGTGTGTATAAAACATGAAGGCGGAGGATTCATGGGAAGAATACATCTTTATTATTTCTTTGGGTACTTAAATAAGAACTATGGATTTAAAGTCTGTGCTCTTAAAGTATTTAAATGTGTCCTTAATGTGTGTTCAGTGACCTAGATAATCTGAATTTAAAATATTCTTTTCTTTGGGGTTGTGTGGTTTGATCCTTCTCATCTTAAAACTTTGTTTAGTTATGGGACCTACTCCAACTTACTTTATGCACAGTAAATAATGTGTACTTTAAAAAAATCTATAACGTATATCATAATAATGACAGCCTGAGATTAAGACTGCAAAATAAAAAGCTGAAAGGGAAAAAGTTTCCTTTTGACTTTTTCTCAATAGTGCTATCTTGCTGCCTGTTGCTTTAAAAGAAAAAAAGCTTTCTAGCTTTTCTAGGTAGAAACTAACTACAGGAACAACATTACATATATTACTTTAATGGGAAAAGAAAAAGAGTGATTAAAGTTCTGGGGCATTCCTCTTGTTTATGTGTTGGTATCACATAAGAGAAGGAAGCCAAAGCCAGATACTAGAAGAAAGGGGTTAACTACACCTCATGGAAGCGAGAGGTTATTCCTCTGTTACATTCTTATCCTTTAACTGCATTAGAATTGACTGTAAACATAAACAAAAGCCACCGGTGGGCAATTAAATTTGAAGAAGTAGCCCATAAAAACTGGAATATTCAGCATGTATAACAATCAGTTACACAACATCTGATTTAATAGTTAGATTTTAAGCGTTCCTCTTACAATACATGTTAAATGTTCTCAACAAATCATATTCTATAATGCAGTAAAATGACAATTTCAATGTAGTCTAAGGCTGGTAGGACAAGAATATTAAAGCAAATTAAACCATAATCTTTCATTTACATTTAGAGGTTAAAAATCTGTAGTCATTTGTGACAAGAGCTTTCAAATGAATTTGCCATTCCCAAAGTCATCTCAGTAGACAGGAAGGAGGAACTTGGCATGTGACCAACAAATTATGAGAGAGCAACACCTCAAGGTTAGAGGGCACTGATGACTTCAACAAATCTCACCAGCTAAGGCAACAGATTAAGCTGGGGGATAGGATGCCCTACAACCTTAACCTGTTAATACCTTTAAATTCTTAAGACTGACCTCTAGTCTGCTCTTTCATATTAGTTGTTAGTTACACTAATTACAGCTTAACTGGTATTGTTGGCACCAGTTTTTCTCCCAAAAGACATGTAGAGAAAGGTTATCTCTAATAGCTTCAAATAACTTCAGCCAAATTCTGTTGTGCACATGAGGAGCACCTACCTCCAGTTTTGAATGGGTCTTTTATAGACATCAAAGCTAAGACACTAAAAGCAATGTGTGTTTGTGGATTCTATAAAGCATTTCATAAAGGAAGCTGTAAAAATAAGAACAGTAACTTCTGTAACTAGAACTTTAGAATGGTTTAAAACAAGGTAATTTGTTTTATTTTTTAATATTTATTTTCAACAAACAGTGGCTGGTGATGTCATATACAAGGAGCTAGTTATACCTTATCGATGCTAGTGAAGTAAAAATACTTGGCCCATGAAATCCCGTCAAAATTTATGGTTTTTAAAAAGGGATAATGAAATTTCTATCACGACCTTTTAGAGCTGTTTTAAGTTCAACATTTACATTGATGTTAACCTAAGATTCCATGGAGTTGTGCCTAGGATTCCAAAGCCCATTTACAAAGATTCAAATACCATCTGTGAAGCTGCTGTAAATTACTCTGTAACATTAATCTTTAAACAAGGCACTAAATCAGAGTAGAAACATACCACAGAGATTTAGAGCAAGAGTCATAACTGAATTATTGAGATTAATGTAAATAGCTTCACGTATAAGAATTGCAGGTTCTTAATATCAGACTGTTTTTGCTTTGAATGAAACATAAGATTTCTTCTAAATCTTAAAAATAAATTACTAATTTCTAAATGACACTGACACTTTTTTTTTTCATGCAAAAAGAAGAGTAAAAATGATCGGTGAATGGAGTTGTTAACCTAAGGGTGCTCCGAGTTAAGAAATATATTAACAAAAATCTGATGATGCAAAATAGACACAGTAGGGAGCAATTAACATTACCAAAAGAAACTTCATTTTACAAAAGGGAATCTTTAAACCAAGCCTAGTCTTCTCAAAAGACGTCCGCCAACAGATACTTGACTTAAATGAACTCTTTGGGGGAAACAAAGTCCTGTAACAGTCAATTATAGTATCACGTGTCATCACATCCAAGACACCATTGATTATAAGATTCATCATTGCTTTTTATATCATTTCAAAAGAAAAACATTGCCAATTAAGCTATGGCATGATGCTTTCTTATCACTTATTGCAAGATGTATTCAAACTTTAGCTAGTTAAAATTATGTCTTGTAATTAATGAAATAAAATATTTTATGATAAATTGACTTTTCTATCAATATATCAAATGATGAAACTGTTTTTGTGAGAGCAAGCTAATTTTGAAATATAGTCACTAGGTGATACAGTAATCCTCCCTTATCCCCCAGTGGATGCCTGAAATCATGGATAGTACCAAACCCTACATATACAGTGTTTTGTTTTATGCATACATACCTATGATAAAGTTTAATTTATAAATCAGGCAGAGTAAGAGATGAACAACAGTAAGTAATAATAAGATAGAACAATTATCACAATATGCCATCATCACTACTCTTGCCCTTTGGGGTCATTATTAAGTAAAATAAGGATTATGTGAACACAAACACTATGATACTGCCACAGCTGATACAATAACTGAGACAGCTATTAAGTGACTAATGGGAGGTTGGCATATATGGAGTGAATATGCTGGACAAAGGGATGATTAATGTTCCATGAGGGACAGAGTAGGATAGCGTAAGAGTTCATCATACTACTTAGAATGATGCACAACTTAAAACTTAAGAATTGTTTATTTCTGGAATTTTCCATTTAATATTTTTTGGCCATGATTGACTGTAAGTAACTGAACCTGTGGAAAGCAAAACTGCAAATAAGGGGGGAACTACTGTATTAAATAAGTTTGCTCTACATAAAGCACTGAAAGAACATTAACCGTATATTTTCTACCTTCTCTGAGGATATAAGAGGAAGAACAGTAGCTGGTATAGTGATTTTAGTTTGCTTGACTAATTTATGGACGAATTAATACCCCTATCTCTTTCCACTAGGGATTTAAGGCAGACTACAAGAAAATCATAAGCAACAAAGTTATTTCAGAAATGAAAAACAGAAAATCAGAACTGCGGAAAAGAACAAAAACAAGAGCATTGTAAGAATTTAATTAGATATAAACATAATTTATGCATAACAATCTAGGTTCTGGATATTTATTTTTCACTGCAATTTCAAAATAAAACATGTTTATCAATGAGATTTTAGGGATTCCTTTGCCTGAAGCTTAGGAACAAATGAGATGACAAATGCAAGGACCTTGCTAATCCCAAAGAATTTCTATAAAACAGATTATTACAATCTACTGTTACTTGTTAAAAAGATAGATACCAAATGAAAGTATGATCAAGACAGAAATTAAATACTGGTAAGAATAACCCCAAAATATTAGCAGCTCTCCCTTAAAAAGATTAAATTGGTTGTACCAGAAGATAAAATAGGATTAATATGAAGAACTAACAGACTAAGTCTCCGTATGCTTACATGTCCTCCTGGTCTGTGGTACCAATGCCAGTAAGCTATCTTAGGATATAGGTAGGTGGATAAGGGGGCTCATGTCAGAGATTACAGGTTCTGAATGAAATGAACAGTACTGCAAGAAGGCCCTCCACATAGCAGGCCTCAGGCTTTATGTGGTAATTGGTTGATACAGCAAAAATGACTTGGGGCACTGTGCTAACATTGAGGTCTATTTCAGAATCATAGATTCGAACATCAGTCAAGTGATGGATCAGTTCTAGTGTTTATAATATTGGATCTTCCTATGTGCAATATCCTACACTTTCTCTTTTCTCTGTATCAGAAACCTGAGATCTAATTGTGGCCTGTATATTAAATTTTTCAAGAAACTGGAAAAATTGACACAAGGACGATGGTGGACATATTCAAAACTCTTCTCTGGGGAAGCATTTCTCTTCAACTCCATATAGTCTTCACTGGGCTGTCAACTATAATACCATGCCCTACCCCCAACCCCCTCATAGATATGGGTACTGGCTCAGGCTGGCCAATCACAGCCTGCCCTAATATGTGACCTCTTTGGCTTCAGTGATAATTAGATGCTAGGGCAGAGAGAAGGCTGTTTCTCTAGGATTATGCTGAATAGAAGTTGCTGCGACTGCCTGTAGGTACTCTGCCTGTTTGTTTGAAAAAGCCCTTTCTGTGAGAAAGAAAGAATGAGGCCAACAGGCAAAGAAAAGTACAAAGAGAGATGGAAGGAGTTTGGATGACAGAGTTTGAGTCCCAGGATCTACTGATCCCAGAAGTAGATCTACATCTGGGGTTTTCAGTTTACATGAATCAATACTTTTTCTTTTTTGGTAAGAAGCTTGAATTGGGGTTACGTAACTTAAAATGAAGAGTCTGTACTAGAGTACAGTAACTGAAATGAGTAGATTATATTCAGCTTCTTTTTCAGTGCTCTAAAACATGAGCTTGATATTCATGTATTCATGTTTGAATTCATGTCTACATATTTGAATATGTAAAATTACTATACAGTAAATTATAATAGTGGCATTTTAAAATGCTAATATGTGTTTAAGGGCAAGAAGTTTCTAGATTATCCATGTAAATGCTGTAGATCACTAAAAGTGGTAGGCAATCCAAAGTTATTCATATTCAGTTTTCTAATACTTTATAATAATGATGGAAGGAGGGGTAGTGGGAGAGAGGGAGTTTATTCTCCTGATTATGTTTTTCCTGGCATAATTAAAAGTAGTTTGCATTTGCTGAGAAGATACTAGTTTGGTAGTGGGAAAAAGTGGCATAGAAAATATACCAGGAAACAAGGAAAAGCTAGTCTAAGATTATGGTTTTTTTGTGGATAATTTCCCAAATAAACAATGTATTCATAAACAACTGAAAACTAGGTATAGCTATCTCTCTTGGGTAAGAGAGCAGAAGCATTGGACAATAACAGGGTTAGTACATGCTTTTACAGAAGACAATGTGAAAATTCATTCTGGAAAAGCATTTACTAACCCTTTTAAAATATAATATTTAAACTACAACATGTAAACCATTTTAAGAGCTGGTTGGAAAACAACTCATCTGGCATTATGATTTGGATGAGCTATATTCTACCTGAAGTTGAGTTACAAATAACTCAAAAACCCTCAGTGTTCTCAGAATAATTACTTAACTTCCATTTTCTAAATATTCTTATTAAATTCCAACATATTTAACTTTTAGGAACCTTAAGCTATGAGGGTATATACCTTCTGGCTCTTCTCTGTAGATGGTAAGGGTCTGAAAAGGCAATTGCCCAGTGGAATGCACTAAACATGAGTCCACTACCTTGAGCAGACCTCTCAAAATTATTCACCTAACATGTTTCATTATATACACTTTGGGGATTATCAGAAGTAAGAGATATTCTTAAGAAATAGATCTATCAGTGCTGGGTTCTAATAGATTTTTGGCCTATCTGCAAAAAAATTCACCTGCTGAAACAATTTATGCTAAAAAGTGTCACTTGTATTTAAAAACAAAGTATGGTGTCAGGACTCATGTGTTTATTCATAGCCACTGACACCAGTGAGTCTGCATGACTTGGGGGAAAAATGAATCTTTTCAGAATTCTGCAGTTTTATATGGACTCATTTTAGAAACTGGACTCTCATTTTAGAAAGTTTTATAAGGATCAATATATACATTAAGGATTTCAGTATTCACAGATGGAAGCAACAGCGGACTTAATAATTACTAAAGATATATATATACGGTTTTCTCATTTCACAAAAAAGTATAATTAAGAACTGCATTGTTCTTTATGCCTAAATAGTTTTCAATAATTCTTACAAAGGTGGTTGGTTTTTTTTTGTTGTTGTTTTCAGAATGATTCTGACCAGGAGTATATCAATCATTTTAATTTCATATGAGAATAAAATGCAGAAGAATTATCTTAAGTCAATTGTTTGATATAAAAATGTATTGATATCTATTTCATCTCCAGTATCGTGCTAGGCATTCTCTCATATAATGAGCTGTGAACAGAACAGTTTGACTGTGTTCCATGATAATCAACAGAGTTTCTAATCAGATACATGTTTTTGCAAATGAAGGCAAGAAGGCTTTTACTTAAGAGATTGTCTTGTGTCTGGTGGTTTCTTCAATTTCCAACACTTTTCAGTAGTTTATTTATGAGATTATAATAAACTTAAAGAAACTGATTAACAGTTTTTTTTAAAATCAAAAGCCTGATGGAGACAATTGACTCTTGATAAGAACAGGCCAGTGGATCTGCTAAACCATTAATTTCTCTGGACTTGCTGATCCATGGTGCCAAGGCAAACCATCGAGAAGCTTTACACCAGTACTAAATTACATTAGTTCCTGGAAGAAAGGCCGTTAGAACCTTAGAACTTAGTATTATGACTTAGGCTATTTGACATAAGTCAATATAAAAACCAGTCACAGGAAGAATTATTTTTTGTCTTGAATGACAACAACAACATCATTAACAAACGTACTACAATTAAATAAATGATCTATTGTGTTGTTCAATGTCTTTTTGAAAGACTGATATATTAATCTTTAATGTTAAGAAAATATTTCTTCTCATGCATTTTGGAAGGCTCAAGTAATTATATACTGAGAACTATATAACTTTTTGGCTATGGCTGTATTTTTACCACTACATTTAACTCTTTATTGCAGTAACAAATTACAGTCCAGATTTTCAGTCAAAATAAACTCCCTTCACTTTTCCTCCCCTTCCTGACTTTTGGTCATGTCTCTCTTGCTCTCTGTCTGTCTTTCTCTCTCTCCTCACCTCGCTCCACTCCTAGTTATCCTTTACGTTGTTCCCCGTTCTTAAGAATGTTTCCATATATTTCCACTGAGTTCTTTGCTCCTTTCTTTGTGTTGTTCCTCTGCCCATTCCTCTAACACTGGCCGCTTGGTGATGTAATCCTTGATTTTCTCACTTCTTTCCTCTCTCAAGCTTATGTGCTTCTTGTCTAATTCTGAATCTTTAGTGCCTAGCCCTTAACAGGTGCTAATTAGATATTTGGTCACTGAGGATGAAGTATAGAGGTACAATGTTACTGCTTACATGAATATGAAGATGCAGAGCCTGGCGGAAAATCAGGAGTTGGTTTGGGACCACAGCAAGGATGTCTGGGAAATGGCCAAACATTGCTATGGTGAGTATCATCATTTTGCTTGTTGTGTCCTGGAGTATTACATATGGTCTACATAGCCCATATTTCAAATAATATACTTAAAATATGTATACTGATATGTGTATGTACGTTTTTAGGAGAACAACATAAATGAGAAATCAAACAATTGCTTATAGTTTTAAAAGTTAATAATATTTGCAGGAAAATTAGCAATATAAAATGTCTAGTTAGATAATGTAATAAAATGAATATGCATATCTGTAATTAGGATAGGTAGTTTTATGGTGAGTCTTAGAATGCACATGAGAGTAAACATGCTAAAGATTTATAAGATGTTCCACTGAATACATGGAATCGTTGTTGTCCTCATTAAAACAATAATTAAAAAATCTACACTTACATTTTAGTAGAAAGTGGTATTTCATTTATATATGGTTTTATTTCAACTGTAGTATCACTGGATCAACTGTGAGAAAATATTTAAATCTCGCAAATTCAAGCACCTTCTGTTTCTTAAATGTTCACATGGTGTATATATGTGCACAGAGAATGTTCACTAAATAAATTGTTTACTGACTAATGCAAGAAACTCAGTTTAAAAATAAAAATGATACAATTTTTTATGGAGCATGCCATTTCTGGAAACTCAAATAAAAAGGATAAAGATGCTTTCACTTCTCATTTAAAGTGTTACATTTTTGTTAGTATTTTACTTAAAATTTCTTGGCCCAGAAGACAAAAATTTATGGCTGCAGATTAACTACTTTAATGATGTGACACAGAAGCAGCAAAACGTTCTTTTTTCCCTATGGTGTTGGAGTGATTGGCTTTTCAGGGGAGTAAAGAATAACACACTAAATCCCTGTATGGGGAGTCTTTTTTTTCCCCCATCTCTTCTCTTTGGTTTAAATGTCAAAGGTAATACATATTTAGCAAGCAGACTGGTGCCAAAAAAAAATGTTTGAAATGAGGTGATCATTTATAATATCTGTATTATTTAATGGTTGATTATTACAGAAATATTTACAGTAAATATATGTAAAAAACTTAAGAGTCTACTTGGATTTAGCAATATTATTAAAACTGTTTAAGAAAACAGTCACTGTCTAAACTTGTTCTCTTCTGTTTTAGCTCTGCTTTTCATAAACACAATGACAAATTAAAGGCAAGTCACCTGACTGTTCAGTACATTAGCTTGATAAACTTAGTGGCTGACAATTCTTAGCGAAAAGTGACACAGCTTTCTTAATAAGTTCACATATCAACTTTTCTGGGGAAATTTAAGAATCATATCTCTATCAAAATATAAAAATTTTCTTCCTAAGTGAGACTCTCATTTTACTGATGAGAGTTCAATTGTCCTGCTCCGAAAATACAGATAAATAAGAAGTTACTGTAATTCTTCAGCCCAGAAGGTTATTGGTTGGGAGAGAAGAAATTTTATTTTTTGTAAAATTTTCCTGAGAAGATAACCCTAGAATGGTGGTATTATTTGAATGCAGATCTGGGACTATTTGACTCTGTGGCTAATACTCTTTCCTTTCCATCATACCACCTTATTTAACTCCTTTGTAGGAAACAACAAAGTCTCTCTGCCTTTCCAAACCTATCCCTGATCACCTATTTTTTCCTCTACAGTAGGGGTAGTAGGTGTTATTGGGTGAATTGTGTCCCCCACCAAATTTATGTGTTGAAGTCCCAAGCTCCAGTATCTTAGAATGTGACTGTATTTGGAGATAGGATCTTTACTGAGGTAATTAGGTTAAAATGAGGTCATTAGGGTAGGTCCTAATGCAATATCACTCACAAAAAGAGGAAATAGGGACACATACATATACAGAAGGAAGACAATGTAAAGATACAGCGAGAATACAGCCATTTACAAGCCAAGGAAAAAAACCTGGGCCAGATCCTTCCCTCAAAACCCTCACAAGGAACCAACCCTGCCCACAAACTCATCTCAGACTTTTAGCCTCCAGAACTGCATGAAAATAAATTTCTGTTGTTCAAGCCACCCAATCTGTGGTACTTTGTTTGGCAGTCCTAGAAAACTAACAGCGTGGCATGCTGAAACAAATTCTCTTTCAATTAAAAAGGTATATGTTAAGATTTTCCACTACTCAATCAATAATACTCAAACTTTTAAAGCAGATCTAGGAACATTATCATCCATTCTAAAATAATGAATCAACCCATTGCATCTTATACACTGTCCTGGCCACTCAACCTAGTCCTAGAAGATGGTCTACATTACACATCCTGAAAGGAAAAGGAAGACTACTTGTTAAGCAATACAGTTATTCCTTTGAAGAAGAAATGACATTCAGGCTGCACAGTTTTAAAAAAGAATATTGATTTTTAAATGCAGTGAAATCTCAGGAAGGCCCCATCGTTTCCTTTTCCAACCACAGTCTTTGGCAATAGAAGAGCTGATAGCAGAAAGTGAAGCTAGTTTGTATTTTGTCATTTTGTTGGAAGCTGCAGGAAGAAAACCTAAGTCCAAGGTTCAAGACCGAAGTAGCTAATTCTGCCTCATAGCTATGCTCCTAGCTGGAAAGTGAGGTGGCACAGTGGCAGCTTAACAGACTGTTTTCTAGAGGTAGCCCCTTCGATAAACCATGTAGCCTCTCCCAAAGCTTCCTGTCATGTTTCTGTTCACTGGTGTCGCCATGATCATGCTAATGACTTGTTTTAAGGATTTCACTGGGTATTGGGGTGGATTCAGTTCATGACAGTTCATCTTTCATCTGGCTGGGGATGTAATCACAGGAACTGACCTTGCCTTCCAACTTAGAAATCCATAGAGCTCATTTATATTCATTTGGTTTCTTCAAAAATGACAAGCAAAGAAGATTCTACTGTGTTAAAATCAGGATTTTGATATTTTCAAATGCTTTTTAAAATTGAAAAGTGAACATTCAGAAACATGAAAATGATTTGGGCTTACATTATGTTCTAAATATGGGTTAACTACAGAGGTATATAAACACACTAATTGTAATTGTAAATTACCATGTTGTGCAGAAAAACAGACATATGGCAGGTGTCTTCACTCACTGTGCTACACTGAAGCTCTTTAACATTAATGGGCCTCTGATTAAAAAAAAAAAAACCCAAACCTTAATTTTTAGCAATGTTTTTCTCATGTATATGGCTCCGTACTCCCCCATTTAGATAATTGCCTTTCTTTTACAGAAACTAAAAATGTGACTAAAAATGAATAGGTCACATTTACTCTTTTAAATATGGCTTTGTAAAGAGAAATTACTACTTTAGAAACAAAGAAGACTAGGAGAATGTGTATCTTTTGGAACTCTAGATCTCCTAGAGCCTTCCTTTAAAAATATTTCTTGGATGTTTAAAATTGTATAATAAATACATACAGCAAAAATTCTAAAAAAAAAATCACTAATAATTCCAATACCTGTACATACATTTATATTTTTTTCTCTATGTAATATATCTTCTAAAAATGGTATAAAGTTTAATAAGTTGTTTTGCTTCATTCAACAATTAACTCTGAACTTTCTATCAAAACTGTGGTTTTATAATATAATTTTAACTTTCTATCATGTTTAATTTTATTTACTTAACCCTTTGTTAAACATTTAGGTTGTTTCTAATTTTTTGTTGTTAAACTTTTTAAAAAATTTCTGCATGACCACTCTTTTTGCTAAATCCTTACACACACACACAAACTTATTTTCTTTTCTTTCCTTTTTTTTTTTTTTTGAGACGGAGTCTTGCTCCATTGCCAGACTGGAGTCCAGGGGCATGATCTTGGCTCACTGCAACCTCCGCCTCCCGGGTTCACGCCATTCTCCTGTCTCAGCCTCCTGAGTAGCTGGGACTACAGGCATGCATCACCACACGCAGCTAACTTTTGTATTTTTAGTAGAGATGGGTTTTTACCATGTAGACCAGGATGGTCTTGATATCTTGACCTTGTGATCTGCCCGCCTCAGCCTCCCAAAGTGCTGGGATTACAGGAGTGAGCCACTGCACCTGGCTACACACAATTATTTTCTTATAAAAATTCTTAAAAGTTGAAATGATGGGCCAATGGAAATGCACATTTTAAAAGATTTCCATATGAATTACCTAACAGCCTTTCATGAAGGTTGCACCAATTCACTTTCCAATAAATAAATATTTGTTTACGTTATTTTGCCCATAACCACCACCACCGTCACACTGTTAAATAATTGGCCACCTAAATCTTTACCTTCGAAATTTCCTTAACTATCTTCCTAAGTTTTATTCTTTCAGTTTAGAATCACTTTGTCAAGGACATTTCCACTAGGTTTAATTGCAATGGTTTTGTAGTTTTCACTTTAAAAACACAGTTTGACATAAATAACACCATTTTGCATTCTGAAAAGAATTAATCTTGAATAGATTTTGCCAAGAAAACCAATACTGTTTAGTAGGCAAGACTATTTCTAGAAGAAAGGCATAAACAAAAGTGGCTATTCTGAAAAACAAATCCCCATGAGACAGACTTGGTATAATAAACAAGGATATACAGTATATCTCTTTCAAAAAAATTAAATTATCGAAACAGATGCTAATTCAAGAAAAAGATCATGCTTTGAAATAAGGGCAGGTATCCAAACACCTCATGATTTCTTAGAGAATAAGAAAACTTCTAGGAAAAAGAGAAATTGTTCCTTATGATAAGATTTTAATTAAAGTGCCAAGGATTGATAAAAGTGTAAGAACAAGAAAGGCAATAATCAATACATTATTTAGTCTGAACTTACAAGACTTATGTAAAATGCAACTCAGGGCCTTCATATGACACTGAGCTGGTGATATCTAGAAAATATAGATTCAAAGAAAACCAGAAATTACCTATTATATAGGTACTGTCAAAAGAAATCATTTGAAAAAGTGGCAAAAGGGAAGGTGCTTCTTAAATTCTGAAACTGTAGATCTAAAGAAGAGCCACGGTCCTCTTTGAATATGTGATGAAGGCTATGAACCATCTTTAAAGAAAATGCACATATGTACAAAAACATTATTCTGCTTATACTCTAAAGGGGCTCAGCATCTTCAGATTAAAAATACTTGCCTTGTCTATAGGAAATACAAGATAACCAAAATGTTTGATAATGAAACATTTTCAGAATGACAGTGAAGATCTATTGGAGTCGGGAGTTGAAATTTATTTTTAAAATTAAGGCAGGGGAAAATCTGGGCAAATATGAAGACTTTGGAGTGTTTGACATCTGCCTTTACTAATTATGCCACTGAAATTATTACTAAAGGTATCAATGGCATCTTAGTTATTGAAATGATATGGCTTAGTAGATTTCTTTTTCTTTTGCTTTTTTTTTTTGAGACAGAGTCTCACTTTGTTGCCCAGGCTGCGATTCTACTGCCTCAGCCTCCTGAGTAGCTGGGATTAAGGTGCACACCACCATGCCCGGCTAATTTTTGTACTTTTAGTAGAGACGGGGTTTCACCATGTTGGCCAGGCTGGTCTCGAACTCCTGACCTCAAGTGATCTGTCCACCTCGGCCTCCCAAAGTGCTGGAATTACAGGCATGAGCCACCGCACCTGGCCAATGTATCTTGGTTGATTTCTTATGTTACTTGATCTCTGTAACATTTAACATTGTTAACTACTTAACAATATAGTCTTGGTTTTCTCCCAACTCTAAGGGTAGTTATTCTTCTGTTTAAGGGATCTTCTGATTAAAGTTTCTACATATCATCTTAAATCTCTGAAAAATCTGAAATCACTTCAGTATGAAGTTTTCCCTAAGGTCCAGCCTTTTCTCTTTTCACAGCAAGTCAAGAGATCTAGTGATAGAAAATCTTTTAAATTATGTGAAGCTGATTAGTGACACATAGAGGCTTTGCCTAAGCAGAGGTGGGGCAGCTGTGTCAATGATGCAGCTATGCGGGGGCTGAGATGGACTCTAGGAGCTGTTCCCTGAGATTGAGAGCTCATCACAATTTCTCCACATCTGTAGAGGCTGCAGAAGAACTGAAGGAGCAGCTGAGGTCAGTGCCTCTTTACAGCTCTTATGTTCACAACACAATCAGAGTTGTTTATTCTGGCATTCAACATGGTCTGACTCTGCTGAAACATCTCCTTTCTAAGGCTTTCCAGAAGGGCTGTCTAGGAAAAGGAGGAAATGGAGTTGGTGCTGTGTGACTTTTAATGGGATAATCCAACAGCAAGTGATTAGTCACCTATAGAATCTAAAGCTAAGCAATTAGGATTTGGCTTTATTTTCACTAACTTATGTGGATCCTCAGTGCTCTACCTTTAGACACTGACAAGAAGAAAAAGCATACATTTGTTAAGCTGGGTCCCTGTAGCTTGTGTGGAGGAAATGGTCTCACTGTGATGTTGTAAGCTGGGATCAGAGACCCAGGCACTAATTCAGATTCTTCTGCTTGATGATGTTGTGGATTCACTGTAGTGAGTTTGGTCCAAGAACCAGAAGAAGCTTAATATCTCCAAACATTCTCTTAAATGGAAGCATTAAGAGCAGACATTAAGTTTTTCTTGAGCACTGATGTAGCCCTAAGGATAAAAAAGCTGTAGTGTGGAATTCATTTCCACACTTTTTATCCAGTGCCGTATTTTGGGCATTGTCATCAAGGACGCTGGACCATGGGAAGCTGTGCTGATATATACGGTTCATTTACACTTGCTTTGTGGCCATCATATTTCCAATGTGATTCTATATTCTTGAGTAAATAAACTGGGAACTCAAGCTAATCTTATACAAGTGTATATGTGTAATCTTGATACACCTCCATTGTCCACCTGAAACAATACAGCTTATAGGTGTGTTCTGAAAACTAAAGTTGTTACAATTTGTTTATAATTAAGTAATCTTTTTAAAGAGTTAGAAGAATGTAAGTGCAGCATTAATATTTACTTGACTTTTGTTTTTAAAGTACTTCACCAAAAGTTCATTCCTGAAAGCTGAGCTACATCTGGGCTACTTCATGTTGTGGACTATGGAAGATCTGGTTTAAAACTTATTTTCATCACCCCGGGTGAGTCATTTACTCTTACACAAAGATGTCATGAGAATGAGATCCCTCAAAACAGAAAAATAACCACCCTTAGAGTCGGAGGAAAAAAAAAGTTTAGGTCTCTTAGGTGTGGGTGCAATGGTGATGGTAGTACTGGGGAAGGAAGTAGTGGTACTGGTAGTTAGCATAATCTTATGAAATAGTCATAGGATTTCATATTTCCCTTAAGCATTTTTCATTTATTCCAGAGAAACTGTCAAAAACCCATACCCTCGCATATAAAACATTCAATAACCTAAGAAAAAAGGAACTTCCTCAACATGTAGAGTACGTATGAAAAAGCCAGAGCTAATGTCATACTCAATGGTGAAAAGACTAAAAGTTTTTCTCCTAAGAACAAAAACAAGACAAGGATGTCCTCTTCTGCTACTTTTATACAACACAGTACTACACATTTTTGCCAGAGCAAGTGAGTAAGAAAAAGAAAGGGTATCCAAATCGGAAAGGAAGAAGCAAAACTATCTTTATTCACAGATGATATGATTTATATGTAGAAAACCCTAAAGAATGCACCAAAAAACTGGTTAGAACTAAATCTGCATAAGTCGCAGGATACAAAATCAACACAGGAAAATCAGTTGTATTTCTATCCATTAGCGATGAACAATTTCAAAAGGAAATGAAGGAAACTATTCCATTTACAGTAGTATCCAAAAGAATAAAATGCCCACAAATAACTTTAAGAAAGTGAAAGGCTTGTACACTGAAAACTAAAACACTGCTCAAAGAAATTAAAGAAGACATAAGTGGAAAGACAGCCTGTGTTCATGGATTGGAAGACTTAAAATTGCTAAGATGACAACACTCCCTAAAGCAATATGAGGGTTCAATGCACTCTGTAACAAAATCTCAATGGTGTTTTGGGCAGAAATGGAAAAACTGATCCTAAAATTCCTATGAAATTTCAAGTAACCCACAATGGTGTGTGTGTGTATATATACATATGGCATGTATATATATGCCATATATATATACGTGCCATATATATATATATGGAAGAACAAAATTGGAAGACTCACACTTCCCCATTTCAAAACTTACTGCAAAGCTACAGTAGTCAAAACAGTGTGGTACTGGCATAAAGACAGACATATAGACCAACAGAAGAGAGTTGAGAGCCCAGAAATAATCCCTCACATGTGTGGTCAACTGATTTTTGACAAGGGTGCTAAGATCATTCAATGCAGAAAGAACATCTCCTCAACAAATGGTGCTGGGAAAACTGGCTATCCACATGCAAAAGAATGAAGTTGGGCACTTACCTCATACCGTATACAAAAATTAACTTGAAATGGATCAAAGTCCTAAATTTAATAAATAAAACTGTAAAATTCATAGAAGAAAACACAGGAGCAAATCTTCATGACTTTGCATTTGGCAACATGAAAAGCCTAAGCAACAAAAGAAAAAATGGATAAGCTGGACTTAATAAAAATTAAAGTCTGTCTGCATCAAAAGATACAGTCAAAAGAGTAAAAGGACAACCCACAGAATGGGAGAAAATACTTGCAAACCATCTATCTGATAAGGGCTTAATATCCAGACTCTATGAAGAAAAGACAAACAACCCAGTTTTAAAAATAGGCAAAGGACTTGAATAGACATTTCTTTAAAGAAGATACAAAATAGACAATAAGCATATGAAAAGATGCTCAACATCATTAGTCATTAGAGAAATACAAATCAAAACCACAATGAGACACCACTTAACAGCTACCAAGATGGCTATAATTTTTTAAAAAATAACAAGTGTTGCCAGGGATATGGAAAAACTAGAACTCTTGTAGATTGCTGGTGGGAATGTAAAATGGTGCCTTCACTATGGAAAACAGTTTGGTAGTTTCCCAAAAAGTTAAGCATAGAATTACTGTATGACTCAGAAATTCCACTCCTATGTATACATCCAAGAGAACTGAAACAACAGATAAACAAATAGATTATTATATGTAAATGTTC
Source organism: Homo sapiens (assembly GCF_000001405.40). NCBI lineage: Eukaryota > Metazoa > Chordata > Mammalia > Primates > Hominidae > Homo > Homo sapiens. Next base: position 93,738,506 of record NC_000005.10, read on the forward strand.
ATAGCAGTATCATTCACAATAGCCCATTGGCTATTAATGAAAACAATCTAAGTGCCCATCATCAGAGGAATGGATAAACAAAATGTGGTATATATCCATACAATGGAATATTATTCAGTCATAAAAAAGGAATGAAGTTCTGATACACACTACAACACAGATGAACCTTGAAAATGTGCTAAGTGAAATAAGCCAGATACAAAAGGTCAAATGTTGTATGGTTCCATGAATATGAACTGCTTAGAACTGGCAAATTCACAGAAAGGTTACCAGGGGTAGGGGATAGGGGAATGGAGTTATTGCTTAATGAGAAGAGTTTATGTTTGGAGTGATGGAAAAATGTTGGAAATGGATAGTGGTGATGGTTGCCTAACATTGTGAATGTAATTAATGTCACTGAATTTACACTTAAAATCATTACAATGGCAAATTTTATATTTTATCACACACACAAAAATAGGCAAAGGTAAAGTTTCTACAGTCTCATGAAGAAAAGATTAAATAAAAAGCTTAGTCACACCTGACTTGTGTGACAGTAAAATTATCCCTGGACTTGAGGTCAGAAGATCAGAGTTAACTCTCGATCTCTTGACCTTGTGATCTGCCTGCCTTGGTCTCCCAAAGTGCTGGGATTACAGGCATGAGCCACCATGCCCGGCCCAGAGTTAAGTCTCTTATTGGGCTCCTGGTTTGCACTCTTGGGCCCACAAGAGTTATTCTCTATACAGCCACCAGAAAAAAAAAGAAAGAAAGAAAGAAACTAAGTACTCATCTAAAAATTATCTAAAAAAGAACAATGAAAGAAACCAGAAGAAACTAGGAAAAAATTAAGAAGAATGAAGTAAAAATTAATTAACTAGGGAATAAAAATTGTAGTAAGTAGAATAAGTAAAAAAGCTTATACTTTGAAAATACCTATAGATAAAACATTTGCAAGACTGATCACAAAAAAAGCAAACATTGACAAGATTACTATCCAGAAATAAGACATAAACTCTGATATAATACATACTGATAGAATTCTAGGACAATAAATAGAGCATGCAGGTGTGTGACAGCAGATTTGAAAACACAGAGGTACTAAATGGTTTCCATTTAGTATATGGTGACCAAAATTGACCAAAGTAGAAGTGGAAAACTGAAAAGACCAATTTCAGAGATGAAATTAGAAGAGTTATTTGACGTTTAATGGCAAAAACCACCAGGGAAGTTTGGATAAACTATTACAAATATCCTCTCAAAACCATTATAAGAGATCAAGAGAAAGTAAGGGAAATTCCCAGGGAACCAAATAGAGGTGAAAACAGGAGGAGTAAGCTACAGCTGGGACCGAAGCTCTGAAGTCCAGCTTGCCAACCTCAGTAACAAAGGAGTTTAGAATACAGTGACTGTGGCAGGACAAGACATAGTCCCATGGGACTACATAAAGTAGGGAGAGGAACTGAGACCCTGACATGAAGCTGGGGCACCAGAAATGAAAAGGTAAATCAGAAAAAAAAAAAAAAAAAAAAATCTTCCAAGAAAGCTCAGGTGTTTCAGCAAGGGCTCTAGGTGGGCTCTGTGTGTTTCTTCCCTATCACATTCTCAAGTCATTCCCTCAAGATAACTATTATCCTGGATTTTGTGTTTGTGTTTACACAGAGTTCTGCTTGATTTTAAGTAAAAAATTGTATACTAAGGTAGTCTTCTGTGACTTGAGTTTTTCACTTAGTATTGTGTTTATGAAAAAATTTAAACCCTATGTTTACTGATAACCACAAGGAATAACAGACACAATATTTAATAAAAAAAGGAACAAAATATCGAAACCATCTATATACTGTAATGTACCTTTAAACCAATGCTAGGGAAAAACAAAGGGAAAACACAAAACTGCAATAAACTTCATCTTCTCTCCCAGGTTTTTCTTGAACAATTCCCACCCCCATTCCCTACTATGTATCCTTAACTTCTTTAGACAGTGAATGAGAAATTAATACTAAAAGCCCTCAAATGAACCCTAGGGACATTTCCTGGGTTTTCCCTTCTTCTCCCCTCTCCAACCGTGCCGTGAAGGGCAAGCCCCTCAGCCCTAAAATCTGAGGAGGCCCAGAGTGGTGGCTGGGGCAGAGGAGTGGGCTACCCCTGCAGAGTAGAGACGTGTATAGTGGGGGATATCCACTGGGAGCCCCAGTCCCAGGTGAAAGCACACTGGTGCTCCTGGGCAAGGAGGCCCGGCTGTCCCCACAATCTCCCGTGGGGAAGCATCATTGGTTGGTCGACTGCCCATCTTGCTGCGGTTATAGAACCAAACTCGAACCACATCCTTCTGCAGCTGGAGGCACCCAGCAATGTGGCTGATTTGCTGGGGTGTGGGCTTAGGGCACCGCTGGAAGAATTTCTCCAGGCTGTTTCCGATTCGTCGCTCTCTGCTTGCCCGTCTCCACTTCCCAGACTGTTGCAGGATCATCTCCATTTTGCATAAGCCCAGAAGGTTCTCTGCTTCCACTTCCTTCAGCCACTTTTTCAGCAGTGGTCGCAGCTTCCACATGTTGGCGACGCTTAGCTGCTGGGCCTCGAAGCGGCAGATGGTCGTCTGGCTAAGCACCTTCCCAAACAGAGCTCCCACAGCGATCCCCACATCGGCCTGCGAGTACCCTAGGCTCAACCTCTTCTGCCTCAACTCCTTGGCCAATTGCTGCAACTCTTTCAGTATGCCCGAGATGTCCTCTGGCGGCGGCAACTTCGGAATGCTCCGCAGGGCAATGTAGGGCCCCGGGAGGGCGCCTTCGGAGGGGCGTCGCAACCAGTCCCCTGCCTCACTAGCTCCAAGACGGGGCCTGCAGGGTGCTATCCAGCCCCGGAATTCGTGTGGCAGGGGACCCAGGGGAATCCTCCACACGTCAGGGCCTGGGCAGATCCCTGGCCTGACTGCCGGCCAGACCATCACCCTGCCAGGGGCCGCCTGGGTGCTCAACCAGGTCAGAGTGTCAACCCGCAGGGGCATCGGCCCTCTGGGGCCGCCCCCACCACTGCCTGGAAGGGGGCAGAAGTGGTTTGAGGGCCTGTGTCCGGCCATGGGTGGAATGGCACCCGCAGCGGCTCTGGTAGGAACTGATGGCCCTCGAGGCTTCAGAACAGCCACCGGCCCCCTCAAGCCCCGCCCCCCAGTGGGCGGAGAAGGCGTTACAAGCCAAGGGTGCCTGTGCGTAGGCGGGGAAATCTGGTAGATCCATAGGAACTCCTGGGTCCTAGGGTTAAGGGAGTGAGCCCCCTACCCTGACCTTTGCTTCCAACTCCCATAGAGGTACAAAGCTCCCTTGTGGGATTTGCATCTCCAAGCTGTCTGGAGTCCCTTACTCACTGCCTCCATCCCCTGCCTGAATAGAACCCAGGTATTTTCTTATGCCTGTTCAGAAACTCTGGACCCTGATCCCCAGGAGCTACCTAACCTCTTGTCTTCACAAATAATTATTAAATATCTATATGCCAGATATTGCTGGGACGACCCCTCAATTCATAAACTGCCCCCTCACTACTATCTTTATGGTCACAAGTACTGCCAACAGTTCCTCTTTGCACATCCCCAGTCCCTGTGCCCTAAGAAACCTAGGCAACCCTGCTTGAGTTTCTAGTTAACATCAGTTTACTACCTCAGATTCTACCCCCGACCCCACCCCCAAACTGCCAGATTCCACTCCCTCCCTGGGGCAGAACTTTGTAACTAATTCCATGTTTCTTCCCCTAGCCTTGAAGGTCCTTTTGTTTCCCATTCTAACCCAGCTTCTTGGTCCAGAGTTTCCTCAACCAACAGAGATCTAGGTGTGTGTCTTCTCTTTCCCACTCTAGAGACAGGTCTCTGAACTGGCCTGACCCACTGTCCCCCACTGAGGATGCTCCCTGCAATATATGACTCACCAACATCAGGCTCCTTTATCCTTAGGCCCTTATCCCACCAGAAACCCAACAATCTTAATTTGTCCCTCCATCATGCCCCTAGCTCAGGCATCCAGTTGTGGGCCCTGTGTGCAGAAAGCTAAGGAGGGAGGGAGAAAGAGAGGCTCTGACCTCAGTTTCAATGTTTCCTAGGAGGAAGAGCACAATGACCTTGGCTAGACAATCATAGCCCTTCATTCTTTAAACCAACCATGATGTGGCTCTGTCCCCACCCACATCTATTGAAACTGGTCTTCTTGAAGTCATCAGTGATTTTTCAGCTGTCAAATCCAATGGCCTTTTAAAAAATCCTCATCCTGCTGTATCTGGCTATAGTGACAACTCTTCTTGCTCCTTCTCCTTTTAAAATTTACATGAAATGGTGATAACAGCCAAATCTGTATTTCAGTTCTGACTTCTCTTCTGATTTCCAGTTTTGTATTTTTCACTGCCCCAAGTCAAATTCATTATCCACACTTCTAAACCTACCTCTCATCCCGGGACTTTTGAACTAGTTATCAATAACTCAGTCATCCAAGCTTAAACCTAGGAGCTGTTCTTGACTTTTTCTGTTCTCCACAGGGTGTCAAATCTTATGTACTGGGACTCCTAAAACATCTGAAGTCTACCATCTCCTTCCTAGCCTCATCTTCCTGGGCCCTTAAATACCTCTTCCTAGATGAAGGCAGCACCTTGAGACTAAATTCAACCCAACACTACAGGTTGGGTTGCAGATATGGCCTTGAAGCAATGGTAAAGGAAAAAGAATCAGAAAATTGGCTGCCATCGCTACAGGCTGTGTACTTAGTTATGTGTCATCTGTATCTCTACTGCAACCCTTGCTAGAATGTGTGCCGGCTATGAGCAGGGTCACTGTCTGTCTTGTTCACTGCTAGATCCTCAGCACGTGGAACTATACCTGGAACATGGAAGGAAGTCAAGCAATATTTATTTAATGTTAAATAAGTGAATCTCTGTAGCATTAATGGTAAAAAGACTTCCATATTTGCCTTCAATTAGATTTTAAGATGACAGTCTATAAAAAACAGCTTGCAATATACAGAAGTTCATTTAAGAATAACTTTGCTGGTATCTATTCTCTTGAGGTATACTTACATGCTATTTTTTTCAAAATCACGAAGCAATCAGTATCTGCCAAACGGAATGAAAGCTGGATCACAAAGAGGGATAAAGAAGAGAAAGCAATATATATGCTAAGGTCCACATACTGAAAACAGCCATTTTCTTTTTTTTTTTTTTTTTTGAGACGGAGTCTCGCTCTGTCACCCAGGCTGGAGTGCAGTGGCGTGATCTCGGCTCACTGCAGTCTCTGCCTCACAGGTTCAAGCGATTCCCCTGCCTCAGCCTCCTGAGTAGCTGGGATTACAGGCGCCTGCCACCACGCCTGGCTAATTTTTTGTATTTTTAGTAGAGACTGGGTTTCACCATATTAGCCAGGATGGTCTCGATCTCCTGACCTTGTGATCCGCCTGCCTCGGCCTCCCAAGGTGTTGGGATTTCAGGCATGAGCCATCGCGCCTGGCTAACAGCCCATTTTCATAAGAGAAGAACAGGAAAAAGGTTCATTAGTGGTTTAAAAACAATAGTTGAATGAAAATATTTTTAATGAATTAGAAAACATGAGTTCAAATAGATGTGAGCAAAGCTTTATTATATTTAAACTGAGTTAAAACACAGTGGCTAAAAACATTTACTAAATTAAAAAGTAACCTTGGCCAGGCACGGTGGCTCACACCTGTAATGCCAGCACTTTGGGAGGCCAAGGTGGGTGGATCATGAAGTCAGGAGTTCAAGACCAGCCTGACCAATCTGGTGAAACCCCGTCTCTACTAAAAATACAAAAATCAGCCAGGCATGGTGGCGCGGACCTGTAATCCCAGCTACTCAGGAGGCTGAGGCAGGAGAATTGCTTGAACCCGGGAGGCGGAGGTTGCAGTGTGCCGAGATCGCGCCACTGCACTGCAGCCTGGGCGACAGAGTGAGACTCAGTCTCAAAAAAAAAAAAAAAAAAAAAAAAAAAAAAGTAAGGCTATATATTAACTTGATGGGTTTTTAAAATTTACTTGGATGCTCTCACTTAAGGCTTTCTTTGTACTTGGTCAGATCTCATCTACCAATGTGCATATCTCCCAGTTTATGTGCATGTACTGCCAAAAAGAAAAGCCCATATTCTTAAGGGAAGTCTTGCCATTTCCTCAAAAGTATATTCAACGTCCTATGGAAATGGGGTTAGCAGGGAAACGAAGCAGGAGCATATTTAGTTGGAACAGGAATAGAGATCAGAGGAAGGCAGTTGATGGGAATGCCCAAGACAACTGGTGCTGTTTGTGCTGGGGCATTTGAAAGGCTAATCCACCACCTTCAACAAAAATCACTCTTAGTAAGTGATTAGATTACAATGTAAGAATCAGGCCAGTCTTATCCATGGGGAATTACAGAGTAAGGATGGAAACACATGGTTCCAGTCCCCAATGTATTTATAATCTAAATGAGGGAGAAGAGAAACTGTCAGTAGAGCAGGACAACTATACTCATCCAAAGGGAAGTTAAGAAGTTTTCTATTATTATGATCTTTGGAATCAAGAGTGGTTTTCTGAAAGAGTTGTTTTAAGCAGAAATGCTAAAAAATAAAAAGTATCAGGATTTTTATTATTAGGTTCTCCTTAAGAATTCCCTATTCTAAGGAGACATAACCAACTGCCATGATCCACAAATGATAAGAAGCAGGAAACAGTGAACACAGAGTTAAGAATCAACATCCTTGTAGGGTTTGGTTCAAATTTCATCGTTTTGAGAAGTCTTGCCCTATATTCTGGACCACAGTGACGTCCCTCCCCTCTAAACTTACTGTGATTTCCACTCACATACATTTGCTGCCTTAAACAGCTGGAGTTTTATGTTTTAGTTCTCCAGCTAAGAGATATGGAACCACCTAAATTCGTATTATAGACATACCATTTATTTTATACCTATGTGCCAAGTAACATGCTAATGCACAAGCTAGTCACAGTGCTCTGAGTATAGTAAGTCCATGAAAACATCTGGATGTGCGAGTGATCTGCCTTTTATGTCATTCTGTTGGTCAGTTATTTCACTGGATAGGAAGGTGATCCTTGCTTCATCATTCCTCCAAATGCATCCCTCCCAAAAGCTTCTCATACTCGAGACAGAGGACATGGCTTTGCTCAAGAGTCTATAAGAAGCTCTAGTTCTCTGTAGCAGAGTCTCCAAAAAAAAATTTTTTTTCTTTTTGACTGCAATAAAGCAACAGAGCTGACCAGAAGATCTAAGAATGATATCCAAGTCAGAGAGAGAGGGCAGGGCAGACTAGATGGTGCTGATCTTTATCGTCTCCCCACTCTGCAGATGTCCTAGTAAGTTAGCACTGACCAGGCATTCTGGTGTAAAGGCATTGCCACTAAGATGGACAGATGTAGGACCTCAAGAATCATATTAGTTAAGGAGCAAGACAAAAGGCTAAGGCAGAAGACAAGATGCAGAGACTAGATACTGGGAACACCCTCTCTGGATCCAGGGAGTAAAGTCAGTAATCCAGGAAAACTCTGGCAGCTGAGTACTTTAAGGAATGATGCCTCCCACCTCACAGTGAAAGAGTTAACATCACACATTACAACAATTTAGTTCACTGGAAACTACCTGAAAATACACTGAAATGATTGTCAATCCTTTGTGTGGATCTTTACTAAACTGTATAAAGCAAAGTGAGGC